>NW_016107302.1:0-168131 GCF_000001405.40 Homo sapiens
GAATTCCCCATGAGTCCTGTGACCTCAGCCCACACGGGGACCTACAGGTGCTACGGCTCACTCAGCTCCGACCCCTACCTGCTGTCTCACCCCAGTGGCCCCGTGGAGCTCGTGGTCTCAGGTGAGGGCGCTGACCCTGTCCTCTCTGAGCTCAAAGGCTCAGCTCAGGCCCTGCCCCCAGCAGAGCTCTGGACACTAAGGAAAGAGGGGAGTGAAGGGAGAGGGTCCGCAGGGGAGGGTCCAGCCCATGGGAAGATGGAAATAGACAGGGACCTCCCACCCCTGGCTCCCACCCCTGAAGTCTCAGTAGAGTAAAGTGCAGGGAGGGCTGGGAGGAGACGGGGGGTGAACCTCAAAGGAGTTGAGATTAGACTGAGGGTGGAAGACGGAGGCCCCACCTGCTCCCATCCTGGTGTCTCCACCTCAGAATCAGAGCCTCTGTGTCCCAGTCCCCAACAGACGCCCTCCTGGAGAGAGAAGCATCCAGGCTGCCGGTGCCACCTGCATCCACCCCCGACCCCCCCCCACCCCGCCCCACTTCCTGCTTTCCCCTGCAGCCTCCCCAGCACTCAGCGCACACCTGAGCCTCACAGGGACTTGCACGTGCTCCCGCAGCAGCTCAGGGAATGTGCACCGCTCCTCTTCTGCGCCGTTGACATTTTTTATTTGGGTTTTTAAAATCTCATATTGGCCTTTTTGTCCAAGCTGGTGAAAGTAGATTTGCAGCATCACCTATTTTTATTCTCACCCGGTTTCGTAATAGCCCTGATCTCACGTGCTCCCTGAGGTTTTGTAAACTTCAGGTAGAAATGTGGACTTCCTTCGTTCTGGACATTTGCTATGGAGGGGGTAGGGCTTATCTTTTCAGAAAAAGTCAAATGACTGGTACCACTCCTTGAAACCCTACAGCACTTTCCAGACCTCAGAGGGAGGGAGAGAGAGGCAGAGACAGAGACAGAGAGACAGAGAGAGAGATATTGGGGCCGCTCTTTCCTGGCCGGTTCATCCTGGCCTATTCTCAATCCACCAAGGCCCCGAAGCTCATCTCCCCTCCTCCTCTGCCTCCTCCTCCACCCTGTAGACAAGCGGCCATTCCTTTCTGAAGAACAGGCTGAGACCTTTCTGGGACCTGCTCTTTCTGGAGCCTCTGTTGCTCCCTGTCTGGGTCTCCACACGCCTCCTTCCTGGCCCTTTTTCCTATTGAGGAATCAGCTTCAATGTCACCTCCAAGTGTGACCTTCACTGACGACACAGCTCAGCCCAGTCCTGCCTGCTTCTCATTTATGTCAAGTAATTAACCAACCTACACCATGCGGCTGAATTCCTTCTCTCTCTCTTCCACTCTCTGCATATACGTGTGTGTGTGTGTGTGCGCGTGTGTGGTCACACCAACATCTTACGTGACATTGAAACCTAGTTATCCGTATATCTATACAAATAATATATATTCACACATAAATATAGGTCTCTACCAATATATCTAAAACCATTGCTACGACTAGTAAATTTCCACTGCTGTGTTTCTATATGTTTGCTGTTTGTCTCCAGGTGAACCCACACTTCAAGAAGGCAGAGATAGTTTTTAAGGCCCACTATATATATAAAACAGATATATATTTGTGTTTGTGTTTTTCTGTGTGTGTATCACATTCTACCTGTTGCTGCCTATACGAATAATTAGCTACCTAGAGATTAAATGGACAATGAAACTCCAGGTGAAGTGGCTGAGGGCATGAAGGGGAGGCAGCCCCAGAATTTCACCCCTTTGTGCTTCTGACATTGAGGCTCCCCTGATGACTAACCCTCATCCACGGAGCCTGGGTCCTCAGCTGGTGGATCCGTGAAACTCTCATCTCCGGGGGAGTTGGCTCATGTTCTCCTGTGTCCCAGGCTGCACAGAGAGCACACAGGCCTTAGTGACCTCTGTACTGGGGACCACTTTCCTTGCAGATCCTGAGCTCTCAGGATGCAGGAAAACTCTCTCCCAGATGACTCAGGAGCAATGTTTAAATCCATAGAACACAGGAAAACTGAAATCGTTCAATGAGGAGACTAGAGGGAATCCTGCTAGCGGAGGAAGAGGTTTTTTTTTTTTTTTTTTAGAAATTCTGTAAAAGTCACATCATGAGACATTAAGTAATAAAAAAAAAATTGCAGAGCCCAGGTGAGAGGCTGGGCTCAGGTCTCTTTTTCTCTGTTTTGATTCTCTGGAGCAGCTGATACCCTCAGCCCATCACAAAACAAGTCTGACTCTGAGACTGGTATGTGAGGAGATACTCTCAGTGATGGGGCTGGCACTGAGGGTTGGGTCCTGTGAAGGGGAGGTGGGTGCCCTGGGTGGACAATCTGATCCACCCTGACCTCTGTGACCTCTTTGTCCACCATCCCCAGCCTCACACCTTCAGGATTACGCAGTGGAGAATCTCATCCACATGGGCGTGGCTGGCTTGATCCTGGTGGTCCTCGGGATTCTGTCATTTGAGGCTTGGCACAGCCAGAGAAGCTTCCCAAGATGCAGCCGGGAGGTGAACAGCAGAGAGGATAATGTACTTTATAGAGTCGTGAAGCCTCAGGAACAGATCTGATGATCCCAGGAGGTTCTGGAAGAAAATCTAGGGCCGATGCTATCTGGACTGTCTGCTGGTCATTTCCAGAGGAAGGAATCAATGTCCGAGTGCAGGGACATTTTCTGGGGTGATCCATGGAGAACCATTAAAATGTGATACCTTTCCTCTCCATTAATGTTGACTTTCCTTGGTTGGATCTGCCTCTTTTCCCACACTTAGACATGAGGCTCCATCCCACATGGCAGCGTTGGGTCCACACCTCTGCACACCTGCATGCTCTGGTCCATGGCGTGTCACACAGTCCTCTTCATTTCTCATTGCCACACTTCCTGGTGTACTTTACTGGGTCTTCATGTCTTCAGTTCAGAGTTCCGCACCTGGTTTAGGAACTAATTCAACGGGAGAAGATCAGAGTCCGACCAGGAAAAGATAAATGCACCGTGATGCCCTCACCTCCTGTGTGGACCCTATGAGCTCTTCCCTCCTTATCAGATGCTATCTGTGTAGTTTCTCCTGAAATATCACCACCTGGAATCAACACACTGGCATTTGAAGTCACGACCCAATGGTATGCTAATTCTGAAAAAGACATTTTTTGAAATGCTATGATTAGTGGCATTTACCAATTTCCTTGACGTAAATTCTTTTTTCATGGCCATAATCAAGATGCCAACGAGACATCCCTGAATGCAGGGTTGGGAAGCGTTGGACAGACTTGTCTTCACTCATAAGCACCAGGCATCTGATAGCTCACGTATACATCTTATTACCTTCCATTTTAGAGTGAATAATCATTTCTACTTCAGTATTTTGGCACAGGTAAAAGCAGTCCCATTACTGCGCGTATACCCAAAGGAATATAAATCATTCTATTGCAAAGATACATGCACACATGTGTTCATCGCAGCACTATTCACAATAGCAAAGACATAGAATCAACCCAAATGCCCATCAATGATAGACTGGATAAAGAAAATGTGAGACATATACACCACGGAATACTATGAAGCCATAAAAAGAAACAAGATCATGTCCTTTGCAGGGACATGGATGGAGCTGGAAACCATTATCCTCAGGAAACTAACACAGGAACAGGAAATCAAACGCTGCATGTTCTCACTTACAAGTGGGTGCTGAACAATGAGAATGCGTGAACACAGGGAGGGGAACAACACACACTGGGGCCTGTCGGGGGGGGGGTGGGGTAGGGGTAGGGAGAGCATTAGGAAAAATAGCTAATGTATGCTGGGCTTAATACCTAGGTGATGGGTTGACAGGTGCAGGAAACCACCATGGCGCACATTGACCTATGCAATAAGCCCACACATTCTGCACATGTACCCCGGAACTTAAAATAAAAATAAAAATTAAAATTAAATTATGACACCATGATCCTAGCATATCCAAAAAAGACAAAAATGCCAATATCAAATGTCGGAGAAAATAGGGCTGAATTAAAAATCCAATACAACGCCGGGCGCAGTGGCTCACGCCTGTAATCCCAGCACTTTGGGAGGCCAAGGTGGGTGGATCACTTGAAGTCAGGAGTTTGAGACCAGCCTGGCCAAACGTGGTGAAACCCTGCCTCTACTAAAAATACAAAAATTAGCCGGGTGTGGTGGCACTCGCCTGTAGTCCTAGCTACTAGGGAGGCTGAGGCAGGAGAATCACTTGAACCCGGGAGGCGGAGGTTGCAATGAGCTGAGATCATGCCACTGAACTCCAGCCTGGGTGACAGAGCGAGACTCCGTCTCAAAAAAAAAAACAAAAAAAAAAAACCCTCAAAAGCTCAGGCAGCAAAAGCAAAAATAGGCAAATGAGATCATAGCAAACTGCAAACCTTCTGCACAATCAAGGAAACAAACAGCAGAGTGAAGAGACCACCTACAGAATGGGAAAGAATATTTGCAAGCAAGAGATTAATCTCCAGAAAATACAAGGAGCTCAAACAATGCAGAGGTTTTGAAGGATGGTGATGAGAAGGTTCTGCTACTTACAGAAAGGAAGTTTAGGAGAAACAAAACCACAAACCTAGGTGGTGGGATGGCTTGATCTGCTTCTGTCTGTGACTCACTTAACAGTCTTAAACACATCTCCCTAAGCCTCCTTCCCCCGGTGGGATTCCTGGGTCTTGTGAGGACCTCATCGGTCCCTCTGGTAAACCCAGGCACAGAGTGGAGCAGCTCTTGTTTTCTCAGGATCTTCCCCTTCACATACAATTAACGCACCCACACGATGCTACTCTTAGAACCCTTCAAATAAATGTTTCCCGGTTCATTCACTACCAGAATCCAAGCTCAGCTTGTTCCCCAGCTTAGGACTGAGTGGTATCTTGGAGGTAGTTTCCACCATAGCCCCCTTCCTCTGCTATAAGGCTCAGTGACACACCAGAGACACCCCCTCCAGCCAGGCTCCTGGAAGGTCTGGATGAAGACTGGGATGCTGAGGCATTGCTCAGCAATGTGGCTTAACTCAAACTTCTATGTGAAACTTCCAACCACTTTCAGCAAGGGGTCACTTCCAGCGTCTTGGGGTGTGAGGGCACTTTGGTTGGTCCCTGCAATATCAGACCCTATAAAGATCCTACAAACATGTTGCAGACTCTTTGAAGATTCTGGCACTTTCAGACATGCTGTTGGGAAATGGTGACACCCATAACCTTCTAGTTCCAGGACAGGGAGCCTTAGCCCAGGGCTATGTTTTCTGAGGGTCCTCAAAGTAAACAGTTCTATGTGCCAGGAGAACCCTAAATCTCATATGGTTCTAAGGGCAGAAAGCCACACACGCACCGGCAAAAAGCAAGAGATTCAAGGAAAAGCTGAGCAAAGACAGACAGGAAAACACACACATGATGAGCCAGCTTGTAGAGCTAGAACTGAGATGGAGAGAGGCACGAGTGGGTAACAGAGTGTGCTCCCCAGAACAGGTGGAGAGAATGCCTTTTTCATGCCCTGAGGATAGGCTGGGTAAGGCTTGTGCTCGACAGTCAAGGACTATTTTTTTCCCCAGGCGTCTACAAGAGACCTTCCTTCTCAGCTCAACTGTGCCCTGCAGTAAGTAATGATGGAGAGAATGTGACTTTGCTCTGCAGCTCTGGAAGCTCATTTGACCTGTGCCTTCTAACGAGGAAGGTAAGGCCCCTGGACACTGGCTCACTGGGGTGCAGAGACAGAGTGGGGCATTCAGGCCAACTTCTCTCTGGGTCTTGGGGCTGGTGATGGGACCTCTAGATGCTGCAGCTCTCTGTCGATGGCTCTGCCTGTGAGTGATCAGCCCTAGATGACCACTGTTACTGGGGGTAGCCCATGCCTGCTGCATGCCCTGTGAAACACTAAATCATATAGCCACGTCTGAGGGACAGCCTGCTGGAGACATGGGAATCTTAGGGATTCCAGACAAAATGAAGCAATGAGAAACACAAAGAGGAAAAGAGAGGTTGAGTATGACAGTGGTGTCAGGGTGTAGGGTGGTAGACAGGGCAGCTCCACACTCTCCACTGCTTCCTGTCTGGAGGCCCACTTTGGGGTCCTACTTATCCAGGTGAGTGAAGGAAGAGGTCAGGACAAACACAGGAGGTGAAGCCAGATACAGTGTGGGGAGATAAGCAGTGGCCTCAGCCTCTAGCCCTTTTCCATCTTCCAGAAGCCCCTCCTGAGCTCTCATCACAGACAGATTTCCCATTTGGAAACCCAGATATTTATCATGCCGGGGGGGGGAGGCAATGTCTCTTGATTATGGGGACTTTCCATCACCAGGCACCTGCTAGTCCTCTCTATACCTTCCCTTCAGGAAAGGAATTGTCCCTCATGGGATTCCAGGGAAGAGACCCCAGGACCCCTATCAGTCACTAGGGAGATGACAGAGTAGAGGAAGTCAGGGGACCAACCCTCCACAGAGAATGGTCCTACTTCAGTGGGGTGAGGGAAACTCTCACTCATCCATTTGCTGTCCTGTTACCTCGGAACCCTAAGAGAACTTGTTAGTCACACACAGAATCTACCCCTGAATGTGGTGTGCAAAGTGGGGCTCTTAGCCTCCAGTGTGAAGTCCCTGGGAAGATGGAATGTCCCTGTGTGAGTGAAGGCTGTGCCACCGCCCAGCTATGTGGCCTTGGGCTAGGCAACCCCTCCCAGGTCCCCAGTTCCCCATCTGCATCGGAGACTGTGGCCAGTGCGGGAATCCACAAGGCCCTTCAGCCTCCAAAGCTCTGGGACAGAGGCCTCGTCCACAGGGAGGAAGGGGTCAGAGTGACCTGAGTCCCTACTCAGGAGCGAGTCTAATCCACTCTCCATCGGGGCCTGTGGGGAAGGGAAGATGAAGAAACGGAGCCTGCACCTGGCTATGTGGGCGCAGTAGATTAAGGGGAGGATGAGGGTTCCTGAGAGTGTGTCATGTGGCAGAGACCCTGCAGCACACTCAGGAAGGGCTCTGGAAGGATCCAAGGAAATTTTCCAAGAAGAGGGCAGAGTAAGTGACAGAGACCCTCAACCATGGATTTCACTGAGGTGCCCATGATGACATAGGGAGAACGGGGGTGTCTGGGCAGGAAGAATATCGTCAGGGTGAAATGAATGGTGATGAGCTTCGTGTCAGAGCTCCTGTGGAGGGAGGGGCCTGGCCCACATGAAAAGGTCTCTGATCCTACCCCAGCCCCCAGCCCCTGTTCTCCAGGATGACACTGTGGGAATTCCATCAGGAGGGGTGTGATAGGGCTGGTCTTCCTGGCTCGATTCACAACACTGGCTGGGGACTGGGAACCCATGGGGAGCCACAGGTGGAAAGGGAGGAGCCTCAGTGAACCCAGCAGGAACAAACATAGGGTCTGACATGATGGAACTCACTTCCTGGAGGCCAAGAAAGACACTTGCGGGACAAAAGGGAAAGAGCGGTGGCTTGCTTAGTTCCATTCACTGACAACCCACAGGAGATGTCCAGTCCTTTTTTGATTTATTATTTTATTTTATTATATTTTATTTTATTTTATTTTATTTTCACATGGAGTTTTGCTCCTATTGGCCAGGCTGGAGTGCAATGGCACGATCTTGACTCACTGCAACCTCCACCTCTCAGGTTCAAGCGATTCTCCTGCCTCAGCCTCCTGCATAGCTGGGATTACAGGCGACTGCCACCACAGCCAGGTAATGTTTGTATTTTTAGTAGAGATGAGGTTTTGCCATCTTGGCCAGGCTGGTCTCAAACTCCTGATCTCATGTGATCCGCCTGTATCAGACTGCCAAAGTGTTGGGATTACAGGCGTGAGCCACCACACCCAGCCTTTTGTATTTTTAGTAGAGATGGGGTTTCACCATGTTGGTCAGGCTGGTCTTAAACTCCTGACCTCAGGTGATCCATCCACCTCGGCCACCCAAAGTGCTGGGAGTACAGATGTTAGCCACCGTACCCAGCGAGAGTTTCAGTGCTCTATCGGATTCCCTGCCTACTCCATGTTGCATGTAATGTTCCACCTCAGGGATGTTTCTCTCCTTTCTGTCTCCTTCCTCTTCTCCTTCTCCTTTTTTCTTTCTAATTTTTATTTTTTTGAGACAGAGCCTTGCTCTGTTACCCAGGCTAGAGTACAGTGGCACGATCCCAGCTCACTGCAACCTCTGCCTCCTGGGTTCAAGAGATTCTCCTGACTCAGCCTCTCAAGTAGCTGGGATTACAGGCACCCGCCATCACACCCAGCTAGTTTTTGTATTTTTAGTAGAGACGAGGTTTCACCATGTTGGCCAGACTGGTCTTGAACTCCTGCCCTCAGGTAATCCACCCGCCTGTGGCCCCCCAAAGTGCTGGGATTACAGGCGTGAGTCACCACTCCCAGCCCTGAATGATCTTTCCTCTTTAGTGTGTTCTCACAACCACCTCTCACTGAGCTTTCTTGTTTTTTGTTTTTGTTTTTGTTTTTGTTTTTGTTTTTGGCAGAGTCTGGCTTTGTTGCCTATGCTGGAGTGCAGTGGTGCAATCTCAGCTCACTGCAACCTCCGTCTCCTGGGTTCAAGCGATTCTCCCACCTCAGCCTCCTGAGTAGCTGGGATTACAGGCACCCACCACCACACCCAGCTAATTTTTGCATTTTTAGTAGACACAGGGTTTCACCATGTTGGTCAGGCTGGTCTCGAACTCCTGACCTTGTGATCTGCCAGCCTCAGCCTCCCAAAGTGCTGGAATTACAGGCATGAGCCACCACTCCCAGCCCTGGATTATCTTTCCTCTTTAGTGTGTTCTCACAACTACCTCTCACTGCTGGGTTTTCTCTCTTTCTTTTTTTTTTTTTTTTTTTTTTTTTTTGAGACAGTCCGGCTTTGTTGCCCAGGCTGGAGTGCAGTGGCGCGATCTCGGCTCACTGCAAGCTCCACCTCCCAGGTTCAAGCGATTCTCCCACCTCAGCCTCCCTAGTAGCTGGGATTACAGGCGCATGCCAGCACACCCAGCTAGTTTTTGTATTTTTAGTAGAGACAGGGGTTTCACCATGTTGGTCAGGCTGGTCTTGAACTCCTGACCTTGTGATCTTCCTGCCTCGGCCTCCCAAAGTGCTGGGATTACAGGTGTAAGCCACTGCACCCAGCCAGCTTTCTCATTCTTATCCCTTAGTTCTCTGCCAGGGAATAAGATAGAAACCATTCCCTCAACCACATTCTAGTCATGGTCCCTATTCTCATGTTTCCACTTCTCTCTCTTTGGTAATAAATCAATTAATTGAGAAACAAGTAGCTAAATGTTCATCTTCTGCTAGTCTGCATCCCCTTATTTTCCCAGAGCCTCCCCTAATGAAACTGACTTTATTTACTGAACGCAGGAAATGGGTCTCTCCAGATCAGGATGACTTTCTGCTGGGAAATATTTGTCTTTGCATCAGTGGGGAAAAAGAAAGCCGATGTCATGAGTGGAGGCTCTGAGAAAATAAGGGCTGTGTTTTCAGTTTAGACCCAGCTAAGTTGGGAGCTGACATAGATATGATGTTGGGTCCACCCTCCACGGGCAGGTTTTCAGACAAAGGATCCCTGGCAATCAGGGGACACCTCAGGTCTGGGCTGAGATGTGTGCAGAGGGCCTGGGTCCTCCTGAGCCCCTGCACTGGGGGGGGAATAAGAGACAGGCCCAGCAAGGGGCTGTCCACTTCCTGTGGGTTCACAGCTGTGGGGACCCAGGCAGGCGGCAGCAGGCTCTGACTTAACCACATCCGTGCATCTGTCTGTCATGGAGGGCCATGTGGTCACCTGTCCCACAGCTGGAGCACGCAGAGCAGGCATCATGGTGTCCATCCTCACTGTTCTTCTGTGCCTCAGTCAGTGGTGGAGAGACGAGGGACAGGAGGGGCACTGGGCTGAGGTGGGGAGGGTCCCACAGCAGCCTTGTTCACCAGAGAGCCTCAGGGCTCCAGTGGCTACTGGTGCTCCAACAGGAAGGGAAGCAGCCACACCTCTGTGTTCCAAATCCCCCACAGGAAACTCTTCTCCATGGCTGAGTCTGGGCCAGAAAGCCCAAGCACTTGCAGGTGAGTCTCTGCTAACCTCCCATGCCTGACCTCACACTCAGCACCTGGACTCTCATCTCAGGGGCTTCTGAACTGAGGGTGAGAAAATCAAGAGGGTCTGTGACCTGAGCTGGGAATGAGGAGCGGGGGAGGTCTGTGGACCCCAGCCTGTGGTTTCTTCCAGGGACCCTCCCCAAACCCAGCCTCTGGGCTGAGCCAGGCTCTGTGATTACCTGGGAGAGCCCCATGACCCTCTGGTGCCAGGGGACCCTGGATACCCAGGGTTACTATCTCACCAAGGAAGGAAACCCCATGACCTGGTACCAACAGAGCCCACCAGAGCCCAGGAACAAGACCAACTTCTTCATCCCATCCATGAGAGAGCACCATGCAGGGAGATACCACTGTCACTATCTCAGCCCTGCAGGCTGGTCAGAGCGCAGCGAGCCCCTGGAGCTGGTGGTGACAGGTAAGAGGACACTCAGGGGTCCCAGCCCCAGGCTCTGCCTGCAGGAAGGGGGTCAGCTCTCAAGGGCATCTCCGTTCTAATAACTCAGCCCTGGGGGATGATGTGGGACGCGTGAGCCCCATTTAAGACAGTGTCTCCTTCTCTCCTAGGAGCCCACAGAAAACCCACTCTCTCAGCCCTGCCGAGCCCTGTGGTGACCTCAGGAGAGAACGTGACCATCCAGTGTAGCTCAAGGGTGGGATTTCACAGGTTCATTTTGATTGAGGAAGGAGAAAACAAGCTCTCCTGGATGCTGGACTCACAGGAACTCTCCAAGGGGCTGTCCCTTGTCCCTGGCCCTGTTCCCTGTGGGCCGTGTGGCTGCCAGTCACCGGTGGATGTTCAGATGCTATGGGCATTACACGAACTTCCCCTGGGTGTGGTCGGAACCCAGTGATACCATGGAGATCCTGGTCTTAGGTATGGATGTCTTCCTCCTTGCCCTATTTATTTTTGAGAACTTACTCTCACGGAGCCCCATGTAGGAGGGTGGAACAAGGGAAGTTTGGGACTCCTGAGCCCAGAGACACTGAGTGTGAGAGACAGTGAGACCTGCAGGGCCAGGAGGGGAGAAGGAAGGGGTGTGGGAGGAACCAGCCCTCCTAGTCCCGACTCTTCTTTCCCTCCAGGCGTGTCTAGGAAGCCCTCCCTCCTGACCCTGCAGGGCCCTGTCGTGGCCCCTGGGGAGAATCTGACCCTCCAGTGTGGCTCTGATGTCGGCTATGACAAATTCACTCTGTACAAGGAGGGGGGACATGACCTCGTCCAGGGCTCTGGCCGGCAGCCCCAGGCTGGGCTCTCCCAGGCCAACTTCACCCTGGGCCCTGTGAGGGTCTCCCACGGGGGCCAGTACAGATGCTACGGTGCACACAACCTCTCCTCCGAGTGGTCGGCCCCCAGTGACCCCCTGAGCATCCTGATCGCAGGTGAGGAGCCCAGCAGGTTCAGTCAGGGACCCAGGCTCCGCACAGGCCCTGCTGGGGGAGCCCAGGTGGTGATGGCCGGGATGAGGGGTGGGGGTCCTAAGGGACGGAGAGACAGACAGAGACAGGGGATGGGCGGGGAGGGGGAGACTCAGAGAAAACAGAGACAGAGACACTGAGGGTCCCAGGGAGAGGCCTGGGGAGGTGTCAGCTCAGAACGAGGTGGGGCAGCCCCTCACCCATCCTTCTTCTCTCCAGGACAGATCCGTGGCAGACCCTCCCTCTCGGTGCAGCCGGGCCCCACGGTGGCCTCAGGAGAGAACGTGACCCTGCTGTGTCAGTCACGGGAGCAGTTGGACACTTTCCTTCTGACCAAGGAGGGGGCAGCCCATCACCCACTGCGTCTGAGATCAGAGCACCAAGCTCAGCAGCACCAGGCTGAATTCCCCATGAGTCCTGTGACCTCAGCCCACGCGGGGACCTACAGGTGCTACAGCTCACGCAGATTCTTCCCCTACCTGCTGTCTCACCCCAGTGACCCCCTGGAGCTCGTGGTCTCAGGTGAGGCCGCTGACCCTGTCCTCTCTGAGCTCAAACCTCAGCTCAGGCCCTGCCCCCAGGAGAGCTCAGGACGCTAAGGAAAGAGGGGAGTAAAGGGGGAGGGTCGGCAGGGGAGGGCCCAGCCCATGAGAGGGTGGAAATAGTCAGGGACCTCCTAATCCTGGGCTCCCACCCCAGAGACCTCAGATGGGGCTAAAGGCCAGGGAGGGCTGAAATGAGATATGGAGAAACCTTGGAGGAATCATGCTTAGGCTGAGGGTAGAAGATGGAGGCCCCACCCACTCCCCACCTGGGCTCCCCTGGCGGCCCCAAAATACTCAGTGCATACCTGAGACGAAGGGGAGATCATGCACCTGCTCACTGCAGCAATGCAGGCAAATTATTCAACAGCAAACCTCGTGTGCAATTCCTTTCTGTCCTTTATTTTTTATGTCCACATATCTAGTTTCTCTTTCTGTTTCTGAAGATTTCAAAGCAATGCTGGCATTTATAATTTACACATTTAATTTGTTAGGTAGCGTTATGATGTAAAATAACTGTGCTCTGATTTTCTTTGGGATTAAATTAAATATGTGCATTCATGATGGAGAATAACTTCTCATTAATAATGTCTTTGTATCCAATACATTTAAAATTAAACTTTATACAGTTAGCAGATGCTTGAAGTTGTATTCATAAAAATTGTGGACATTGTGAATTTTAAGCATTGTTTTACTACTTGAATAATTTGAAAGTCTTTGATTCCTTTCTATTTTCTAAAATTAGTTACGTATGGATGAGAAAGCTATTGGTTTGGGTATGCTAATTTTAGTTCCTATTAACTTACCACAGACACACTCCCTTTCAATCCTTTCCGAAATGATCTCTTCTGATTTATTGATAATAATTACATTAACCACAAGAAAATGGAGGACAAACTTGTTTGTTTCTAAATTATATAATACTCTTCTCACTTCAAATATATATGTATGTGTTTATATATACTCACACACTATTATATATCTTATAATATATATTATGTATTATATATTTATATATACACTATTATATATCTTATATATTATGTATTATATATTTATATATACCCACACATTATTATATCTTATAATATATATTATGTATTATATATTTATATATACCCACACATTATTATATCTTATAATATATATTATGTATTATATATTTATATATGCACTATTATATATCTTATATATTATGTATTATATATTTATATTACCCACACATTATTATATCTTATAATATATATTATGTATTATATATTTATATATACACACACTATTATATATCTTATTATATATTATGTATTATATATTTATATATACTATTATATATCTTATAATATATAATGTATTATATATTTATATATACACACACTATTATATATCTTATATATTATGTATTATATATTTATATATACATACTATTATATATCTTATAATATATTATGTATTATATATTTATATATATACACTATTATATATCTTATTATATATTATATATTTATATATGCACACACTATTACATATCTTATTATATATTTATATGTATACACACACTATTATATATCTTATTATATATTATGTACTATATATTTATATATACTATTATATATCTTATAATATATAATGTATTATATATTTATATATACACACACTATTATATATCTTATATATTATGTATTATATATTTATATATACATACTATTATATATCTTATAATATATTATGTATTATATATTTATATATATACACTATTATATATCTTATTATATATTATATATTTATATATGCACACACTATTACATATCTTATTATATATTTATATGTATACACACACTATTATATATCTTATTATATATTATGTACTATATATTTATATATACTATTATATATCTTATAATATATAATGTATTATATATTTATATATACACACACTATTATATATCTTATATATTATGTATTATATATTTATATATACATACTATTATATATCTTATAATATATTATGTATTATATATTTATATATACACACTATTATATATCTTATTATATATTATATATTTATATATGCACACACTATTACATATCTTATTATATATTTATATGTATACACACACTATTATATATCTTATATATTATATATTTATATATACTCACACTATATCTTATAATACATATTATGCATACACATATGCATAATACATATTATCTATACACATATGCATAATACATATTATGTATACACATATGCATAACACATATTATGTATACACACATATTTACACCTATGCATATATGTATGTATGTATGCGAATGTACCTCTGCCACGGCAGGGAAAGGTTCTATCACACAACTACAGAGCAGTTAGGAGAAGTGTAGACACAAAGGAATGCAGCAACTGAGGGACATGTTGGCTTAAGTCTCTTCAACTCCTCACACACCTCCCCCTTTTTTGGTTGATTCTCAGGAGCAGCTGAGACCCTCAGCCCATCGCAAAACAAGACAGACTCCAAGACTGGTGTGTAAGGAGATGCTCTCGGTTATGGGGCTGGCACAGAGGGTCAGGTCCTGTGAAGGGGAGGTGGGTGCCCTGGGTGGACATCCAGGGGTCCCGGGTGATGTTGATCTGCCCTGACCTCTGAGACCTCTTGGTCCACCATCCCCAGCCTCACACCCCCAGGATTACACAGTGGAGAATCTCATCCGCGTGGCTGTGGCTGGCTTGGTCCTGGTGGTCCTCGGGATTCTGCTGCTTTAGGACTGGCACAGCTAGAGAAGTCCCCAAGATGCAGCAAGGAGGTAAATACATGAGAGAACAATGCACCCTTCAGAGTGCCAGAGCCTTGGCAATGAATCTGATAGTCCTAGGAGGTTCTGGAAGAAAGTCTGGACCATCATTCGGGAAACCGTCTACTGAGAAAGTCGAGAAGGGGAGGCTTGGGTCAGGTTCAGGAAGATGTCTGGGTGCCTGTAGAGAACGCTTCCTCCATTAAACTTCCATTAAATGGCAGTGCTTTCAGTCCTGCTGTTGTGGATCCTCCGTGTCTGCCCCTCCCTTCCTTTCGCTCTCTGTGATGTGAAGGCACGTCCCCCATGGTGGGTTTGCATCCACACCCCTGCGATCACGTGCTCTGGTCCACTGTCATGTAATACATTTGTCTTTGTTTCCAACTACCGCATTCTCTAAAGTGAACTATTGATTCTCCATCTTTTCAGTTCTGAGCATAGATCTGGATTAAATAACTGGAATAGGTGGGCAGATTTGTATTTGGGACTTTGAAACATGAGTCTGAGGCCAGGCACAGTGGCTCACACCTGTAATCCCAGCACTTTGGGAGGCTGAGGTGGGCGGATCACTTGAGGTCAGAAGTTCGAGACCAACCTGGCCAACATGGTGAAACCCTGTCTCTACTAAAAGATACAAAAATTAGCTGGGTGTGGCAGTGAGCACCTGTAATCCCAGCTGCTCAGGAAGCTGAGGCGGGAGAATAGCTTGAACCCGGGAGGCGGAGGTTGCAGTGAGCCAAGATCTTGCCACTGCACTCCAGCCTGGGCAACAGAGCAAGACTCCATCTCCAAAAAAAAAAAAAAAAAGGGAAATATGAGTCTGAAATGATGCCCTAGCACCCTCTCTGGACCCTGAATTCCCTTCACTCTTCATCGGATGATACCTGTGTACTTTGTCCAGAAATATCATCTCTCAGAATGAGCACACTAACGCTCGAAGGCTCAGCCTCATGGTATTCTGTTAAACTGGCTCTCTGAAAAAATTATTTTCTTAAGAAAACTCTGAACATATAAAGCCCCAGATTTATGGTATTTGCTGATTAGTGTGGTATAAATACGTCCTTTATGGCCAACTTCAGGGTGCCCATATGACGCCATTGAATGCACAGTTGGGAAGTAGTCAAAAGAATTGTCGTTCACACGAGTATGAACCAGTTGTAAAGTTTATTTAAAGGTTATAATAATTTCTGCTTCATTCTTATGGTGTAGTTTCAGTAAAATTGTAATGTCAAAAATCATAGCACAATGGAGGGAAAAGAAAAAAATAGGCCGGGTGTGGTGGCTCATGCCTGTAATCCCAACACTTTGGGAGGCCGAGGCAGGAGGATCACCTGAGGTCAGGAGTTCGAGACCAGCCTGGCCAACATGGTGAAACGCTGTCTCTACTAAAAATACAAAAATTAGCCAGACATGGTGGCGCCTGCCTGTAATCCCAGCTACTTGGGAGGCCAAGGCACGAGAATCGCATGAACCCAGGAGGCGGAGGTTGCAGTGAGCCGAGATCACTACAGCCTGGGTGATAGAGCAAGACTCAGTCTCAAGAAAAGAAAAAAGTAGCAAAATCATTTTTTGGAAAGAATATTGAACATGTAGAATTTTAGTACATTAATAGTAAGAGTACAAATTGCTTTAATCAATTAAGGAAGTGTATTGGAATTATCTAGTTAAAAAGAGGAGGCACATGGCTGTGACCCTTCTTAATTATGTACTTAATTATGTACCCTAGAGATAAATGTCTACTTATGTGTCATGATACACTCACAACTGTTATAGGAATGCTGTTCCTATTAGCCAAAGCTATAAAATACCAAAGTCCACCTACGAAAAAAATAAACATAGTGTGGTAAATAGACTCAGTGGAATATTACAAGGTAGTAAAATGCATAAATGAAAATAACAAACAGCACCATACTTCAATTTTCAAGCATAAAGTCAAGTAAATGAAGTATTATTTGAAAATGTGTGCATGGTTATTTCATTACATAAAGGTCAAAAGGAGGGTACATTTATTATTTAGGAAAACACACCTAAGATATCTTTGTAAAATCTGTAAAATCAATAGTACTGTTTCCCCTCTTTCATTCCTTATCTTGAAAATGCTTGTCTCTTTTTCTGCCATGGCTTTCTACCTTGCTTGATATATTACAATTTTGTAACCTGCTTATTTCATCATATGTCATAAGTTCACATGTATATCCCATGAATTATTGAGGGTCTTATTCATTTCAAGTGGCATTTAGGTTTTTAAAAATATCTTTTGGCGACCAGGTGCAGTGGCTCATGCCTGTAATCCCAGCACTTTGGGAAGCCAAGGCAGGTGGATCACGAGTTCAAGAGACAGAGATCATCCTGGCGAACATGGTGAAACCCCGTCTCTACTAAAAATACAAAAAAAAAAAAAAAAATAGCTGGGCATGGTAGAGGGTGCCTGTAGTCCCAGCTTCTCAGGAGGCTGAGGCGGGAGAATGGCATGAACCCGAGAGACGGAGGTTGCAGTGAGCCGAGATCGTGCCACTGCACTCCAGCCTGGCAACAGAGTGAGACTCTGTCTCAAAAAAAAAAAAAAAAGAAAGAAAGAAAGGAAGAAAAAAAAATCTTCTGGCATTAACTATTAAGAAATTGCACTATAAAAAGAGAATATAATGCATAAGACGGCAATTTGAAAAGATTCAGATATAATTTTTTCTTATCTAGTAAATACTTAGTAATTTGTCTAATGCATGCCTTAAATACATACCACTTTATGCAGAGGTTGCCATGAGCCGAGATCGCGCCGTTGCACTCTAGCCTGGGTGGCAGAGCAAGACTCCATCTCAAAAAAAAAAAAGAAAATCTCACAGAAGGAGACCCAGAGCTTCCAGCCTCGCCCAGAGTCTTGGCTCACTCCCTGTGTGTGTGGACCCTAGGGAGCCTCTTCTGTTCCCCACAGAGGTGGAAACTTCCTCCTTAATAACCCCTTGATGGTCCCAGGCACTGGTGACCACTGAGCTTTGCTCTCTCTTTTTTCTTATGGTTCCCTGTCTACTTCCAGGGCTATCACTTTACTTTTTGTGCATTAGACCATGAATAATGTTTTAGAAACATTCTATCAAATTTCTCAGTGCTAGGAACAACTGAGGTTTTTGATTGGGTGCCTCAAATGTCTACCCTTACTGTGGAGTCCGACAACAGGATTCTAACAAGTCCCAACCCCTTCATGCCTTAACCTGGTCTGGAAATAAATTATGTTTAAGCCATCCCATACCCCAGCCACATCAAGCCCCACAACCACTCTGAGAAGTGAGATTTATAGCAAAATGCTCCAAACAAGGTAACTAAGGTTCAGACAAGGGATGTTAATGTGTCCATTTACATAAACAAAAAATGGTAGATGATCAGCTTTCCCTTTGAAATCAGAGTACTAATCTGACTCATTGTTCCCTGAATTTTAGAGGCAGGACCTCAGGAGGAGCTAAGAATCCTACCCCAGGAAAATTACCAATATCAGAAAGGAAACAATGACATCAGTACAGATCCTACAGAATTCAAAAGATTCTAAGTGGACATTATGAAGACATTATTCAGCTTAGATGAAGTGGTCACATATCACAAGAAAACAAACTGTCTAAAACAATCTCTGAAATACCTAGACATTCCCTGAATCATTGAGTTATTAAATAAAATACATTTTAAAATTAAACTCTTTTCAGGAAATAAACTTCAATGTCCCCTAGTGCACTCTCCAAAACATGTAGATGGGAATAAATACTGTTCTGAAAGACATTTCCCTGGAATTACAACCATTCAATATATTTTAAAAGGCAATCATAAAAATATAAAAAGGATATATCAGGAGAAGAAATGTAAATGGCCTAAATTCCCCACATAAAAGGCATAGAGTGGCAACGTGGATAAAAAGCCAAGAGCCAACTGCCTGCTGTCTTCAAGAGACCCATCTCACATGTAATGACACCCACAGGCTCAAAGTAAAAGGATGAAGAAATATTTACTAGGCAACCAGGAAACAAAAAAAAGGAAGGCATTCCTATTCTTATATCACATGAAACACACTTTAAATCAACAGCAATCAGGAAGGACAAAGAAGGGCATTACAAAATGATAAAGGGTTCAATTTGACAGAAGACTTAACTATTCTAAATATATATGCACCCAAATTTGGAGCACCCCGATTCATAAAACAAGTTATTCTTCACCTATGAAAAGAGTTAGACAGCCACACAATAATAGTAAGGGACTTCAGTATCCCACTAACAACGTCAGATGAATCACTAAAACAGAAAACTAACAAAGAAATTCTGGTCTTAAAGACAACACTTGACCAATTGGACCTCATAGACATCTACAGAGTACTCCACCCAACAACTGCAGAATATAGATTCTTCTTATCTGCACACACAAAAAACATATCATATTCTAAGACTGGCCACAAAGCAAGTCTCAATAAATTCAAAGAATCAAAATCATAACAAGGCACACAATAAAAATAGAAAAAAATACCAAGATGATCTCTCAAAACTACAGAAAAACATGGAAATTTAACAACTTGTTTCTGAATGAATATTAAGAGCCATCTATGACAAATCCACAGCCAACATCATATTGAATGGTCAAAAGCTGGAACTGTACCCCTTGAGAACTCTTGGGTGAACAATGAAATTAAAGCAGAAATCACAAAACATTATTTAAAATTAATAAAAATAGAAACAAACTTACCAAAACCTTTGGGATGCAGTTAAAGCAGTGATAAGAGGAAAATTTATAGCAATACATGCCTCATCAGAAGTTTAGAAAGATCTCAAATTAGTGACTTAACACTGCATCTAGAGGAACTATTAAAAAAAAGGAACAGTCCAAACCCAAGGCCAGCAAAAGATGAGAAATAACTAAAGTCAGAGAGAACTGAATAAATTGAGACCAAAAAGTCCATACAAGAGATAAATAAAACCAAGAGTTTTTCTTTGAAAAAAAATAAACAAAATTCATAGACTGTTAGCTAGATTAACAAAGAAAAAGAGAAAAGATCCAAATAAACACAAATAGAACTGACAAAACAATGTTACGAACAATCCCACAGAAATAGAAAAGATCGTCAAAGACTATTATGAACACCTCTATACAAACAAGCTAGAAAACCTAGAAGAAATGGATAAATTCCTGGTAACACAAAATTTATCATATTTCAACCAGGAAGAAAGTGAAAACCTGAACAGACCAATAACAAGTTCAGAAATTTAATCAGTAATAAAAACCCTACTAACTAAAAATAGCCCAGGACCAGATGGATTCACAGCCAAAATCCAACAGCCATACAAAGAAGAACTGATACCGATCTTACTGAAACTTTTGGAAAAAATCAAGGAGTGGGGGCTTCTTCCTAACTCATTCTATGAAGCCATCATCACCATGATACCAACATCTGTCAGAGACATAATGAAAAAAAGAAAACTACAACTAAATATCCTTAATGAACATAGACATAAAATCCTCAACAAAATGCTAGCAAATTGAATCTGTCAGTGCATCAAAAGTTAATTCACATGATCAAGTAAGCTTTATTTTTGGGATGCAAGGTTGGTTCAACCTACAAAGTCAACGAATGTGATTCACCTCATAAACATAATTAAAAACAAAAACTATATGATCATCTCAATAGATGCAGAAAAAGCTTTCTGTAAAATCCAACATCCCTTCATGATAAAAACTGTCAATAGGCATCAAAGGAACATACCTCAAAATATTAAGAGCCATCTATGACAAACCCACAGCCAACATCATATTGATGGGCAAAAGCTGGAACCATACCCCTTGAGAACCGAAACAAGACCAGGATGACCACTCCCGCCATTTTAATTCAACATGGTACTGGAAGTCCTAGCCAAAGCAATCAGGCAAGAGAAGGAAATAAAAGGCATTAAAATTGGAAAAGAAGTAGTGATACTGTCTCTCTTTGCTGATGAAATAATTTTATACATAGAAAACCCTAAAGACTCTGTCAGAAGGCTCCTGAAACTGATAAACAAATTCAATAAAGTTTCGGGATTAAAAAAATGTACACAAATTAGTAACATTTCTATGCACCACT
The DNA here is from genome assembly GCF_000001405.40 of Homo sapiens. Lineage (NCBI taxonomy): Eukaryota > Metazoa > Chordata > Mammalia > Primates > Hominidae > Homo > Homo sapiens. Next base: position 20,923 of record NW_016107302.1, read on the forward strand.
AACATTCTAGCTGAGAACTAAATCAAGAACACAATTCCATTTACACTAGCCACAAAGAAAATAAAATACCTAGGAATCCATCTAACCAAGAAGGTGAAAATTCTCTACAAGGAGAACTACAAAACACTTCTGAAAGAAATAAGAAATGATACAAACAAATGGAAGAATATTCCATGCTCATGAATTAGGAGAACAAATAGTTAAAATCGCCATACTTCCAAAAACAAATTGCAGACTCAATGCTATCCATTTCAAAATGCAATGTCATTTTTCACGAAATTATAAAAATTTATTCTAAAATGTATTTGGCACCAAAAAAAGAGCCTGAATACACATAGGAATCCTAAGCACAAAGAACAAAGCCCAGGCATCACATTACCCAACTTCAAACTATACTACAATGCTATAGTAACCCAAACAGCATGATACTACTACAAAAACAGACACATAGACCAATGAGACAGAATAGAGAACCCAGAAATGAGGCTACATACCTACAATCATCTTTGAAAAAATTGACAAAAACAAGCAATGTGGAAAGTACCCTTTCTTCAATAAATAGTTCTGGGATAACTGACTACTCATATGCAAAATAATAGAACTGGACCCCTAACTCTCACTATATACAAAAATTAACCCAAGATAGTTTAAAGATTTAAATGTAAAACCTCAAAATATTAAAATTCTAGAAGAAAACCTAGGAAATATCCTTCTCAAGATAGACTTTGGCAAAGAATTTATGGCTAACTCCCCAAAACCAATTGTGACAAAGACAGAAATTGGGACCTAACTCAACTGAAGAGCTTCTGCACAGCAAACGAAAGTATCAACAGAGTAAACAGATAACCTACAGACTGGGAGAAAATATTTGCAAACTATGCATCTGACAAAGTTCTAATATCCAGAATCTATAAGGAATGTAAACAAATCAACAAGCAGAAAACCAAAAAACCTCAATTAAGTATGACATGAACAGACACTTCTCAAAAGAAGATGTACACATGGCCAAAAAACATATGAACAAATGCTTATTATCAGTAATCATCAGAGAAATGCAAATTAAAACCACAGTGAGATACCATCTCACAACAATCAGAGAAGCAGAAGCAATTACTAAAAAGTTTTTTGTTTTTTTTAATAACAGATGCTGACAAGATTGTGGAGAAAAGGGAACACTTATACACTCTTGGTGGGAATGTTAACTAGTTCAGCCAATGTGATAAGCAGTTTGGAGACTTCTCAAATAACTTAAAATAGAACTACTATTCAATCAAGCAATCCCACTACTGGGTATATACCAAAAGGAAGGTAATTAACTATGTCAAAAAGACACATGCACTAGTATATTCATTGCTGTGCAATTCAGAATAGCAAAGATTTGCAGTCAACCTAAGTGCTCACCAACAGTGGATTAGTTAAAGAAAATGTGCTACATATACACATGGAACATTACATGGCCATAAAAAATAATGAAATCATGTCCTTTGCAGCAACATGAATGTAGCAGGAGGTCAATCTCCTAAGTGAACTAATCCAGGAACAGAAAACCAAATACCACATGTTATCACTTATAACTGAGAACCAAACATTGAATACACATGAACATAAAGATGGAAACAACAGATACCGAGGACTACAGATGGGGGGAGGAGTAGGGAGGTATAGGCTGAAGAAACACCTGTTGGATTCTATGCTCATTGCCTGGGTGATGGCATTGTTGGAACCACAAACCTCAGAGTCACACAATATGCCTATGTAACAAACCTGCATGCATACCTTTAATCTACAGTAAAGGTTGAAGTTATTTAAAAATAGGAAGAAGAATTACCCTATACCTAAAGCTAAGATTTTTCCCTTTGAATATTCGTTTCTTCATCACTGTAGATAAGCAGGGAAAGAAAAATTATTATACTATACTAGCCTTTTATGTGACCATGAGGATTTGGGGTAGGTAGGTGGACAGCTTAGATAATTCACCAGGATATTGATACAGGCTCCATGGCTGGAAATAACCAAGGATGAGTGCTGTGTTTTGAGTGGTCTCCCCCAGAAACGTTTGTTGAAATCCTAACCCCTGGTATGTATGAATGTGAATTCATATTATATAAAAAGGAATAAATAGCCTGAGCACAGTGGCTCACACCTGTAATCCCAGCACTTTGGGAGGCCAAAGCAGGTGGATCATTTGAGGTCAGGAGTTCTGGCCAATATGGCAAAACTTCATCTCTACAAAAAAAAATACAAAAAAAAAAATTGGCTGGGTATGGTGGCGCATGCCTGTAGTCCCAGCTACTCAGGAGGCTGAGGCAGGAATTGCTGAAACCTGGAAGGCAGAGGTTGCAGTGAGCCAAGATCATGCCACTGCACTCCAGCCTGGGTGAGACGGCAAGATATTCTGTCAAAAATAAATAAATAAAAAACAGAAGAAGAAATACAAGAATGACAGCAAACTTTGTATTCAAAACTATGAAAGTAAGAAACAGGTGGACCAACATTTTTAAAGTGCTACAAGAAAATATTTCAAACTAGAATCTTTCAACCTGAAAAGGAAAACATTTTCCTGCAATAAAGGTGCCATTAAAAATGTCTCACAATTTATTACATGAAGCATTGTTCTACAATAAATGTTAAGCTCTTGAAGCAAAGATTAATGATACCATTTAGTAACTTGAAATTCAAAAAAGTGGAAGTATCCCAAGAGGCAAATACGTGTGCAATTATTAAATGTTTCATATCAACACCCAACCTTATGCTGTCTGCATAAGCTGCACTTCAAATACTAATCCACAAGATGTAAATATTGAAAGAATGACATTACCTTGTCATGATAATGCCCAGTGCAAAATATGCTTCTAGTCAGTTGTATACATAGAATAGGTAAATGTTTGTAATAAAAAGTATTCCTCAATAGAAGTTTCTTAACTCAAAGAATGAAATATTTCACCATGCACATACAAAGAAGAGATATATGGAGATATGAAGAGGAGTACTTCATAATGACAAAGAGGCAAATTCATAAATAAGACATAATCATCCTAAATGCCTACACACCTAAAGCTGGAACCTCAAAACACATTAAATTAAAGGCACAATTCAAAACATAATCAATCACATCCAAATTGCAGCTAGAGATAGCAACATTCACCTCACTTCCAGAACAAGTACACAGAAAATTATTAAGCATATGAAAGACCTGAAAAACATTTGTGTAGGCGGCGGGTGCATAAGGTTGGGTGTTGATATGAAACATTTAATAATTTCAATAATCCTAGCACTTTGGGAGGCCAAAATGGGAGGATCACTTGAGGCCAGGAGTTTGAGACCAGCCTGGGCACCATAGTGAGACCCCGTCTCTATTTTTTTTAAATAAAGAAAAACATTTGAATGATTTTTTTCTTAACTGACATTTAGAAAACATCCACCTCAAATCTTCCTAATCCACAAACTTGTCTAGCACCCCTGGAACATTCACCAAAATAAATTTTTAAATGCTGAATCATAGGTAATATGATAGATGAAACAGTTGAATTAAATTATAAATGTACAACAAGGAAATGCTGGGGAAATTATCAAATATTTTAAAATTAATAAACACACATAGCAATAAACAATGAGTGGAAGAAAAACATTTCAAAGAAAGGTGGAAAATATTTTGTATCAATTAAAAATGAAAACACATCTCGGCAAATGACTGGGGATACAGATAGAACAGCGTTAAGGGACAATAAGCCTCAAATGTCTGTGTTAGAAAAGAAGGAAGAGCTGAGTAAATAGGTAACTTTCACTTGCAGAAATACTACACATCAGCAAATTAATTCCAAAGTAACGTCGAGGAAAAACATAAAATGGCAAGCAAATATATACGTGCATATGTACATACATTCATAAATGACAAACAGGACAGAAAAATCAGTGACATCAATTTTGTTCCTTAGAAGAAACAGGAAAATTGACCCCAAAAAACTTTCCAGGCCACATTTGGTCATGATGGAAATATTTTGGCACTTCCTGGTTAAGCTCAACACCAACTTGCACCCAAAACCAATAATTTCATTTCTAGGTAAATATGTCTAATTAATTCAGCATATGTATGCAAGGGATCACACAGAAACACGATTATCAAGGCCCGAGTTATAAAAGAGAAAATCCGGAAACAACACAAATGTCCATGATAAAAAGAATGGATAATTACATGTTGATAAAGTTATGCATGGACTATTAAACTGCAATCCAAAAGAATAAAATAGAGCTATAAAATTCAATATGTATATGGTGTCATAGAAACACAAATGTGAGAAAAAGAAAGAAAAATACAAAATTTATATTTTTTAAAATTTGAAACAACTATATATGTGAGTGCTTAGGGTGTGTGTGTGTGTGTGTGTGTGTGTGTGTGTATAACCATATGTATATAAATGCACACATACGCACACATATAGAATGTCCCGGCCAGGCATGGTGGCTCACACCTGTAATCTCAGCACTTTGGGAGGCTGAAGTAGACAGATCACTTGAGGTTAGGAGTTCAAGACCAGCCTGGCCAACATGGAGAAACCTCCTCTCTACTAAAAGTACAAAAATTAGGTGGGCGTGGTGGTGGGTGCCTGTAAATCCAGCTACTTAGGAGGCTGAGGCACGAGAATTGCGTGAACCTGGGAGGTGGAGGCTGCAATGAGCCGAGGTCTCACCACTGCATTCCAAACTGGGTGACGAAGTGAGATTGCGTCTCAAAAAAAAAAAAAGTTCTAAAAGTTGTGACTTGGGTGTGGCAGATTGTGACATACTGCCAGCTGCTAGAAATGCTGGGGCAGGAGGATTGCTTGAACTCTGAAGTCAAAGAACAGCCTGGGGAAAATAGCACATGAAGAAGAGTTTGAATCTCAGATAAAAACAACAAAAATACATCAAAAGTCTTTAATGTAAGCCAAGCATTCAGTCATCTCCTGTATGAGAGATTGGATCTGAGACGTGTTTTGAGTTGGTTATAGTGAAGGATGCAAGGTGTCAATTCTAGTTGGAACAATTTCCAGGAAGCCATGTTCTGCTCTTGACCAAACAGCCACTGGGCCTCATGCAAGGTAGAAATAGCCTGCATACCTCATCCTCCCATGATGTGGTCAGCATGTAAACTGCATGAGCCCCTCACAACATCCTGTGTGCTGCTGAACTGAGCTGGGGCGCAGCCGCCTGTCTGCACCGGCAGCACCATGTCGCTCATGGTCGTCAGCATGGCGTGTGTTGGTGAGTCCTGGAAGGGAATCGAGGGAGGGAGCGGTGGGGTGGAGATCTGGGCCTGGAGTGGAGATATGGGCCTGGAGTGGAGATATGGGCCTGGAGTGGAGATATAGGCCTGGAGTGGAGATATGGGCTTGGGGTGGAGATATGGGCCTGGAGTGGAGATATGGGCCTGGAACTGTAGATATGGGCCTGAAGTAGAGATATGGGCCTGGAGTAGAGATATGGGCCTGGAACTGTAGATATGGGCCTGGAGTGGAGATATTGGCTTGGAGTGCAGATATGGACCTGGAATTGAGATACGGGCCTGGAGGTGGAGATATGGGCCTAGAGTGGAGATATGGGCCTGGAGGTGGAGATATGGGCCTGGAACTGTAGATATGGGCCTGGAGTAGAGATATGGGCCTGGAGTGGAGATGTTGGCTTGGAGTGCAGATATGGGCCTGGAATGGAGACACGGGCCTGGAGGTGGAGATACAGGCCTGGAGGTGGAGATATGGGCCTGGAGTGTAGATATGGGCCTGGAGTAGAGATATAGGACAGAGGTGGAGATATAGGCCTGGAGTGGAGATATGGGCCTGGAGTAGAGATATAGGACGGAGGTGGAGATATGGGCCTGGAGTGGAGATATGGGCCTGGAGGTGATGTACAGATGGATCATCCATCATGATCTTTCTTTCCAGGGTTCTTCTTGCTGGAGGGGCCCTGGCCACATGTAGGTGAGTCCTTCCCCCAAACCTTAGGTTGTCATCTCCCCACATAAGATGATGTTCCTGAAACGGGAGGCAGGCGACACAGGGGGTTGACTGATGGGCTGACCATGGGAAGCCATGTGGGAATCTCTCATGAACTAGGAAAAGGAAGCCAGGGGAAGCTTCGCCACAGTTCTGTCCTAGCCCTCCCCGGCCTTTCTTTCCCTTGGCTGAGTCTGTGGGGACCCAGGGGGAGACTGAAGTGCTCAAAGGAGTGGTGTGCAGGGAGGAAGTGGTGTCACCGGCAGAGGAAGGGAGAGAAGCAGTGCAAGGAACAACAGGCCTCTGAGGACAAGAGCATAACTCACACCCTCCAGCGTTTCCATGACGGTAGGGGCTGCAATGTGGCTGCTGTCATTCTACCTAAGAGGTGGGGGAACCACAGTCATGACCCTGACATTCCAGATCTTCTAATAGGGGCTCAGTTGTTTATTATGGTTCATGCATTAGCTGATCATGCCCTCCATCCTGTGTCTACCTTGTGTTCTTTTATGTAAGTAATTTTGCAGTGTTAAAATCTAGTAAGAGTCGCTTCTTCAGCACCTGCTCAAAGTTCTCAGCTGACACTTGCTGTAGGGAGACGCCATGTCTATGCGGGATGGGTCCTTCCTGTAGCCCTGGGCACCCAGGTGTGGTAGGAGCCTTAGAAACGTGGAAATGGGAGAATCTTCTGAGCACAGGGAGGGAGGGGCGGCTCCACATCCTCCTCTCTAAGGTAGTGCCTCCTTCTCCCCCAGGTGGTCAGGACAAGCCCTTCCTCTCTGCCTGGCCCGGCACTGTGGTGTCTGAAGGACAACATGTGACTCTTCAGTGTCGCTCTCGTCTTGGGTTTAACGAATTCAGTCTGTCCAAAGAAGACGGGATGCCTGTCCCTGAGCTCTACAACAGAATATTCCGGAACAGCTTTCTCATGGGCCCTGTGACCCCAGCACATGCAGGGACCTACAGATGTTGCAGTTCACACCCACACTCCCCCACTGGGTGGTCGGCACCCAGCAACCCTGTGGTGATCATGGTCACAGGTCAGAGGCTTTCTGTCTGGGCTTCTCACTGTCCCACCTCCTGAATCCCAGAGCTTCTGGTGGGGGCGTCCATCAGGGTCCAATCATCCAGGCCCAGACTGTATTTGGGGTAAAGGGGGATTCAGTACAGAGAAATAGTTGCTGTGGTGGGAAGAATAATTGTCCCCAGTGATGGCTACATGGTAATCCATGAACCCTGTGACTATTTATGTCATAGGGCAGGGGACTGAAGGGGAAGATGGAGCTCAGGTTGTTGATGAGTTGACCTTGCGATGGGGAGACAGCCTGGACTGTCCTGCTGTGCTCAGAGTAATCACAAGGGTCCTCATGAGAGGAGGAGGAAGAGGAAAGTGGGGTTAGAGCAACGTCGTGGGAGGGAGACTCCATCAGCCACAGCGGGCTTTGAAGATGGGGGAAGGCCATGAGCCACAAAGGCAGTTGGCCTCTAAGGGCTGGAGAAGTCAAGGGAACTGATTCTTCCCTGAGTCTCCAGAGGAAACACAGCCCTGTAGATGCCTTGATTTTAGCCCAGAGAGAACTGGGTCCGATTTCTGTTCTCCAGAAGTGGAAGGGGTCATTGTATTCTCTCCTGCCCCATGTTTGTGACAATTTTCTCCAGCAGCAACAGGAAACCAACACAGGAACCCAGGTGAAGCACAAGTTAAGAAACCAAACAAGGAGAAGGTTGGCTACACTGATTTTAGCATGGGTGGGATACTGATGCTACCACCAGGCTCGATCCACATAGGGAGGGGTTGATGCTCCTGGAACCAGCACCAGGGGCCACCCTATGGAAGCTGGGGCCATGGAGAAGGCACAGACATGACAGGAGAGGCTCCCAATCCCCATCAGGAACAGGGACACTGATGCCTGCCTTACTGATGAGTTCGTACCTCCTGCCAGCCTTTCCAATCTGTCCAAAAGAGATTGATTCAGGCTGCTAAGAGCCTGGACATGCAGCCTGTCGTGGTTCCTCTTCCACCCCTACATAAACACCAGGAAAGAGATTAGTGGGAAACAGATACAACAGCCTAAGAGGTGACACTGAGCACAGTGGGAAGGGAATCAGGGCTACTAGAGACAGAGAGACAGGGAAGAGGGAGGGAGACAGATGGAGGGACCTGCAACAGGGGTTATGGGCACAAAAGAACACGGAGACACAGAGAGGAAGGAGAGAGATAGACACCATGGAGGGGAAGCCTCACTTATTTCAGGTCCCATGAATGGGATGAGAAAGGGAGACACCTTCTGAACTCACAACCTCTCTTCTTAGGAGTCCACAGAAAACCTTCCCTCCTGGCCCACCCAGGTCCCCTGGTGAAATCGGGAGAGACGGTCATCCTGCAATGTTGGTCAGATGTCAGGTTTGAGCGCTTCCTTCTGCACAGAGAGGGGATCACTGAGGACCCCTTGCGCCTCGTTGGACAGCTCCACGATGCGGGTTCCCAGGTCAACTATTCCATGGGTCCCATGACACCTGCCCTTGCAGGGACCTACAGATGCTTTGGTTCTGTCACTCACTTACCCTATGAGTTGTCGGCTCCCAGTGACCCTCTGGACATCGTGGTCGTAGGTGAGAGAATACAGACCTGCCTCTCACCCTTGCTGGGAGATGGAGTGAATGATCTAGGACTGGAAGCCCCAGGTGGTCATGAGGAAGATGAGTGTGGGGTTCCTATGGAGAGAAAGTGACTTGGTGAGGTCTGTACCAACAAAGGCAGAGAAACAGGAGACACAAGTACAGACCTCATGTCATAACATAGAAGCCAGACACAGGGGCCATACAAGGTGTTAGAAAAAGAGATAAAGAGGTAAAGAAGACACAGAGAGACAGATATATCCCAGAGAGAGGTGTCCTTCTATGCTGACTTTGTTCAGAGACCAGGCACAGGTTAGAAGGTTCCATTCTGTTTTACCTCTACAAAGTGTTCTCTCCCAGGAGAACCCAAAGAGACACATCTATCTGGCCTGAGTTGGGCCGTGTGGCCCCAGGCTGGTGGCACCTACAGATGCTGTGTTTATTCTTAAACCTCTGCCTTCCGTGCAGTGGAGCTGTCATCGTCCCAGGACACCATGGCCCCAGGTGAGGGAGCAGAACACCAACCCCTGTATGTTGTGAGTTCCTGGAGTCCCCATACTGGATTCTGAGGCTCATATTCAAATAGCACCACATGTTATAGGATTACTGAGAACAAAAGCCCACAGAGAGACACGGAGTGAAATCAGGGAAATCAAAAAGCAAAGACATGAACACACACACAGAATGAGCCAGAAGAAGGGAATTGAGAGACTCACAGACACATAAAGAGACAGAAAAAGAGGGCAGAGAAGTGGAGCGTATGATGGAAGGAAGCAGAGAAAAGCCCTAAAATCAGAGCCCTGAGGGAGGGGCACAAAGACAGGGAAAGATAAAGATGTGGGGATGGATTGCAGAGACTCCAAAAGGGAACTAGAGAGACTGAGAGGCAGAGAAAGACAAGGAGATGGAGAGAGACAGATGATAGATGGATAGATAGATATAGATAGATGAAAGATAAAAGGTATATGATAGATAATAGAGAGACAGGTGATAGACAAATAGATGATGAATGACTGATAGATGATATAGATAGACAAGTAGAAAGACAGACAGATGATATATAAATAGATATAGAGAGATAGAAAGACAGATAAACACATGATGATAGATGGATAGATGCATACATACATACATTGATTGATAGATGATAGATAACAGAGAGATAGGTCATAGATACACAGATGATGATAGATGATAGATACATACATAGATAAATGATAGATCGATCAATAGATAGTAGATAGAAATATGCAGAAAGTTATGAGCAAGACAGAAAGTGAGAGACTCAGAATTAAAGAAAGAGGAAGATCAAGTCAACCAGTCCAAGGAGGGTCAGAGAGAATAAAATGGTACAAAAAAAGAAAACATAGCTAGGGATGGAGAAGTGAGGTCAGAGACCTAGAGAGACAGAGAAGGTGGAAGGAGGAAATAGACATGAAGAGAGATGGGGGTGGAGGGTGAGAGAGAGAAAGAGAGCATTAAGTCATAGAGCAGGGGAGTGAGTTCTCAGCTCAGGTGTGAGGAGAGCTGTGACAAGGAAGAACCTCCCTGAGGAAACCACCTCTTCTTCTTCCAGGTCTATATGGGAAACCTTCTCTCTCAGCCCAGCCGGGCCCCACGGTTCAGGCAGGAGAGAATGTGACCTTGTCCTGCAGCTCCCGGAGCTTGTTTGACATTTACCATCTATCCAGGGAGGCAGAGGCCGGTGAACTTAGGCTCACTGCGGTGCTGAGGGTCAATGGAACATTCCAGGCCAACTTCCCTCTGGGCCCTGTGACCCACGGAGGGACCTACAGATGCTTCGGCTCTTTCCGTGCCCTGCCCCACGCGTGGTCAGACCCGAGTGACCCACTGCCCGTTTCTGTCACAGGTGAGAAAACACCATGCCTGTCCCATGTCTTGTGATCCTAGAGCCATAGCTGAGGAGCTTCCTGCTGATGATGGAGAGAAGCATGGACAGATGCCGAGACAGAACACACAGCATGGGTGTAAGGGTGGGGTCAGGGCGCAGGATGGCAGACAGGGCACCTCCAAACCCTCCTGTATGGCCTGCAAGGAGGCCCTTGATCAGGGTTCCAGGCACCCAGGCAGATGGAGAAAGAGGTCAGAACAGACCCAGAGGAGGGAGACTGGGCTCTGCCTGGGGAGATCAGAGGTTCTCTCAGCCCCTCAACCTTACCCACTTCCCAGAAGCCCATCCTGGCCTGTCACCCACAGAGAGATGTCATCACCAGCAACGCCTACACCCTTTTCTTTTTGTTTGAAGAAATATTTATTGAGGTGAAATATACCTATGTAATTTACCACCTTTACCATTTTTAAGTGTGAAGTCTACTGTTCATAAATACATTTATAGGCTGGGCACGGTGGCTCACGGTTGTAATCCCAACACTTTGAGAGGCCAAGGCAGGTGGATCATTTGAGATCAGGGGCTCAAGACCACCCTGGCCAACATGGGGAAAATCCATCTGTACTAAAAATACAAAATAATAATAATAATGATAATAATTAGCCGAGCATGGTGGCACATGCCTGTAGTCCCAGCTACTTGGGAGGGTTGGGCAGGAGTTGCACTTAATTGCAGGAGGCGGAGGTTGCAGTGAGCTGAGATCATGCCACTGCACTGCAGCCTGGGCAACAGAGAGAGACACTCTCTCAAAATTAATTAATTAATTAATTAGTATTCTTTTTTTTTTACCCTCCACCCTTCCCTTCCTGGCCTCTGGTAGCCACCATTCTACTCTCTACCTTTGTGAGATCCACCTTTTAGCTCCTGCATATGAGTGAGAAATGGAAATACTTGTAATGACCTCCAGTTCCATTCATGTGGCTGTAAATGACAGGATGTTACTCTTTCTATGGATGAGTTGTCCCTATTGTGTGTGTGTACCACATTCTCTCCATCCATTCACCCACTGATGGGCGGGTAGGTTGATCCACATCTTGGCTACTGTGAACACTGCTGGAACAGTCATGGGAGTGCAGATGTCACTTCGATACGCTGATGTCCTTTCCTTTGGGTTTACACCCAGTCATGGAATTGCTAGATCCTCTGGAAGTGTCTTTTTACATTTTGTTTTATGGTTTTTGTTTTTGTTTTTGTTTTTTTTAGACAGTTTCACTCTTGTTGCCCAGGCTGGAGTGCAGTGGTGCCATCTGGGCTCACTGCAACCTCCACCTCCAGGATTCAAGAGATTCCCCAGCCTCAGCCTCCCAAGTAGCTGGGTTACTGGCTCCCACCACCACACTCGGCTAATTTTTATATTTTTAGTAGAGACAGAGTTTCGCTATATTGGCCAGGCTGCTCTTCAACTCCTGACCTCAAGTGACCTACCCACCTCGGCCTCCCAATGTGCTGGGATTACAGGCATGAACCACTGTGCCCGACCTCATTTTATTTTTTGAGGAACTTCCATACTCTTCTCCTCTGTAATGGCTGTACTAATTTACATTCGTATCAGCAGTGTACCAGATGCAACCCTGGTTGACTCAGCAGAGCAAGAGACGTGCAGTAAGAGAGAATTTAGCTTATTTATGCACACGACACTTCCACTCACTCACTCGTTCAGCCAATGCCCCATGCTCTGGCTGTGCAGTGTGGAATCTTTTCCTATTGTTGCCATAACAAATTTCCACAAGCTTCGTGGATGAAAACATGTTTTTCTTAATTATCTCACAGTGCTGTAACTCAGAAGTATGAACTGCATTTCACTGGGCTGATATCAAAGGGAGAGTAAGGCTGGATTTCTTTTTAAGGTTCCAAGCAAGAATCTGCTCCTTAACGTTTCCCAGCTCCTAGAGGCTCCCACGTTCCTGGGCCCCTGGTCCCCTTCCTCCTTCCTCCTTCCTCAAAGCCCACAAAGGCTGGTCACGTCTCACATGGCATCATTCAGACTCTTCTTCTTTACCCATACCTTTTTCTCTGAATCCTGCTCTGCCTTCTTCCTCATCTTTTAAGGACTTTGGGATTCTATTGGGGTCACCAAGATAATCCATCTCAATCTCCCTAAAATCATCCAGCGTACCCTCTTTTTAAGTTCAGCTGATTAGCAACCGTAATGCCATCTGCAATCTTCATTCCTCCTTTCCTGTAAAATAACATATTCACAAGCTATGGAGGCTAAGACAGGGACATTTTGGGGGTGGGGCAGCATTCTCCTGCCTTCCACAAATGGTAAACAGGATGCATTTGGCCTCTGCTCTTGGGACGCTGATATTGCAGATGGGTAAATGCGAGGGCAGAGAATGAATGCACAAGGGTACCAATAAATGAATGATCCATTGGGAAGCATCTGTGCACCAAATCTGGGGTTTTTTGTGTGTGTGTGTGTGTTTTGTTTTCTTTTTTTTTTTTGAGTAGAGTCTCTCTCTGTTCCACAGGCTGGAGTGCAGTAGCACAATCTCAGCTCATTGCAACCTCTGCCTCCTGGGTTCATGCAATTCTCCTGCCTCAGCCTACCGAGTAGCTGGGATTACAGCTGTGCGCCACCACACTCGGCTAATTTTTTTGGTATATTTTTTAGTAGAAATGAGGTTTCACCATGTTGTGCAGGCTGTCTCAAACTCCCAATCTCAAGTGATCCCACCGCCTTAGCGTCCCTAAGTGCAAAGATTACAGGCGAGAGCTACTGCGCCCAGCCAGGATTTAAAATAAGTAATAGATAATGCTGAGTATATAATTTCAGGTGACAGAGAAGGTCTCACTGATCAGATAATATTTGTGACCTTAATGGAAAAAATGGATTCAACCCTTGGAAGATTGGCGGAAGGATTTTCCACACTGAGCTCTCAGCCGTGAAGGCACAAAGGTGGAAACATTCTTAGTTCAAGGAAGAGGCTCTGCCTCAAATGCTGGGAATGAAGTGGGGAGAATGACAAGACAACTGTAGAGAGATGGAGAGCACACTGGGTACACAGGAAACTAAGGAGGAACAAGGAGCGTGTGTTTGATACTCACAGCCATTGGATTCAACTCAGAGCTAACTAGGAATCCCTACCTGATTAATAGTGACCGACATGACAATAAGGGAGGCCCAGGTGCGTAACTGGAATCTAGGAGACGGTGGAAAAGGCAATTCCCGCCCCACTGGTGAAACGTAGGGTTGATTTACACACTAAATGAATGAAAGATGGATATAAGCTATGCTTGTGAGATAGAATCATTTGCAGGGAGGGCTTGCTGGGTTTGATTTTTCCTAGTAGTTTAATCCTTGTTTCATTAATTTCTTTCTGAGATGTGTTTTTTTTCTACATCTAAATCAATACCTGGCAGAGGAGCGATAGACACATGAGGGGTGGTGCAAATGAAGGGACCTAGTATAATATAATATACAAGACTGTGGATGGGGGCTCACACCTGTAACCCAACACTTTGGGAGGCCAAGGCGGGTAGATCACTTAAGGGTAGGAGTTTGAGACCAGCCTGGCCAACATGGTGAAACCCCGTCTGTACTAAAAATACAAAAATTAGCCTGGTGCATTGGCACCTGCCTGTAATCCCAGCGACTGGGGAGGCTGAAGCAGAAGAATGGCTTCAACCCTGGAGGCAGAGGTTGAACTGAGATCGCATCACTGCACTCCAGCCTGACACAGGGGGACTCTGTCTCAAAAAATAAAAATAAAACATACATAATTATGACACACAGAAATTACAAAGGCAACTGGATACCAACCATCATTTTTCTATTTCTCTGTGTTTAATTCTTTGACCCTTTATCTTATCCATTAAACAATCAGGTTAAACCTCTTCCTTATTTGGCTTTCTGTGAGCTTGGGATCATATGGAAAATGTGAAAGCCTCCTGAACCCACCAGCACAGGTCCTGGAATAGAGAACGTGCTCTGTTCATGGCATAAAACTTGCCCCTTCACCCAAATCCCCCAATTCATCTCTACTTCCAATCACCTATGGAGATACAGATAGATCATGGGGAGGTAAACACTAATACTCTTTGGAGTGAGCTCAGATCTTGGACTCAGAGACCAGTGCCAGCACTAGCCCCTGGTCACATTTCGTACTAACTCACAGAAGGACAGGCTGTATTGAAACAATAAACGACGGAGAGGGCGGTCCTTCCCCGTGCTTCTCGGGTGGAATAGCAGCCTAATATATGTCTCAGCAGATCACAAAAAGTAGCATGTTGTTCCTGGGCTACATCATTATTTCATGGCTGTTTGATTTAAGTCAGTTCTACTTCACTTTTTTTATCTTGATTTCATTTTTTCTTTCTTTTCTTGGAGAATGTAATTTTTTTGAGTCAAGAGGGTTGTGGTGGTAGAAACTGTAAAGCACATTCGCTGTGTATCAATCCCAATCCAGTCTTCCCAGAGAAGATTCTAAACACCTCCTGGAATGCACCTGGGCCTATACCAATTCCTATCACTCACCGTCACTCCAGGGAGACAGAACACACAGAGAACACATTACACAGGCAGGTTCATTACTAACAGATAAGCAGCGAGTGACAACAGAAACCTACATTTCAATGTGAGCCAGTCCCTCAAGGCTCAGAAAAGCTGCTCGAGACATGTGGAGTCACCCCATATGCAGTGTATCTGGGGGAAATCAAAAAGCAGCCCAGCCTGGGTTTTGTACCCTGGAGCCACAGGAAGCACTCAGCTAAAGCACTGCATGACGTCCTCCTCCAGGAAGAACAGGAAGACAGCCCAGGCTGTTCTGGGATGTTCCTCCTGATCTCAGGACGTTGCTGTCTTAGTCCATTTTTGTTGCTCTAAAGGAACACTTGAGCCTGGGTAACTTCTAAAGACAAGAAATGTGTTTGCCTCACAGTTCTGCAGGCTGTACTGGAAGCATGGCACCAGCATCTATTTCTTGTGACGGCCTCAGGCTGCTCCCACTCTGGCAGAAGGGAAGGAGGGTCTGTCTGTGCAGAGACCACAGAGATCACACGGCAAGAGAGGGACCAAGGGGGAGGGGGAGCGATGGAGCTTCCAAGCTCTTTTAACAACCAGTTCTCCAGGAACTAATAGAGGGGGAACTTGCTAACCCCGTCTCCTTGGAACAGCATTGATCTGTTCATGATGGATCCACCTCCATGACCCAAACAACTCCCAAGAGGCCCAACCTCCCACTCTGGGGGTTACATTTCAATGTGAGGTTTGAAGGGGTCAAACATCTAAACTAAAGCAGTTGTATCCTCAGCACGTTCTATGGTTACTACAACTGAGAAAGCAGGAGGAAGCTAGGTCTCCCGCCATCTGGGTGCTTGTCCTAAAGAGACGTTGTATGTGGTTACCTGTCAATCAAGAAATGTGAGACAATTCATATAGAGGAACTGCTATGATTAGCTTCTTATTGGTGTCTTGTCTTCCTCCAGGTAACTCCAGAAACCTGCACGTTCTGATTGGGACCTCAGTGGTCATCATCCCCTTTGCTATCCTCCTCTTCTTTCTCCTTCATCGCTGGTGTGCCAACAAAAAGAGTAAGTCTCACGAAGCAGAAGCCAGAGAGCTCAGGGCCATGTGGGGAAGCAGGATGGGAGCACTCAGGTGTGAGTTCCTCACAGACTGGATGGTCCCTGGCCCAAGGCAGGAGCCACAGAGGCAGGACTTTCTAGAGAGAGCACCAGACTCCCTGCCTCTGCCTTCAGCTCACAGACCATTGCCTGATTCTGAACCGTATCCTCACATCCCCTGCAGCCACTCACATCCAGGAGAAGGTTCCATGACAGGCAGAAAGTGGGACACAGAATCAATAGGATGGGAACTCAGAGCTATACATGGGATGGATCCTTGAGCTCAGAGAGATAGAATGTCTGAGTCTGCTGTTGGCAACTGAGGGACCTCAGGCACCTATGGCCTCCCCCTGTATGTTGGTATCTGCTTATGAAATGAGGACCCAGAAGTGCCCTCCGAGCTGTTTTGACGACTTCCGTCTTCTACAGATGCTGTTGTAATGGACCAGGAGCCTGCAGGGAACAGAACAGTGAACAGGGAGGTAGGTGCTCCTCCGCCCAGCCTCGTGGCTAGTCTTATTCCCAAAGAGTCCTGGAAAATGTGAGCACCCTCCCTCACTCAGCATTTCCCTCCCTCCAGGACTCTGATGAACAAGACCCTCAGGAGGTGACATACGCACAGTTGAATCACTGCGTTTTCACACAGAGAAAAATCACTCGCCCTTCTCAGAGGCCCAAGACACCCCCAACAGATACCAGCGTGTAACACGGAACTTCCAAATGCTGAGCGCAGATCCAAAGTTGTCTTCTGTCCACTAGCACCACAGTCAGGCCTTGATGGGATCTTCTAGGGAGACAATAGCCCTGTCTCAAAACCGGGTTGCCAGCTCCCATGTACCAGCAGCTGGACTCTGAAGGCGTGAGTCTGCATCTTAGGGCATCGCTCTTCCTCACACCACGAATCTGAACATGCCTCTCTCTTGCTTACAAATGTCTAAGGTCCCCACTGCCTGCTGGAGAGAAAACACACTTGCTTAGCCCACAATTCTCCATTTCACTTGACCCCTGCCCACCTCTCCAACCTAACTGGCTTACTTCCTAGTCTACTTGAGGCTGCGATCACACTGAGGAACTCACAATTCCAAACATATAAGAGGCTCCCTCTTAACACGGCACTTAGATACGTGCTATTCCACCTTTCCTCAGAGTATCTTTCAGCCTTCTGTCAGCAGTAAAACTTATAAATTTTTTTTATAATTTCAATGTAGTTTTCTATTCTTCAAGTAAACATGTCTGCCCTCATGGTTTCTTCAATGGGACTCTTTTCTTGCCTAAGGCTTCCGGTGTTATCATTACCACGTCCACATAACCCCATCTGTTCTCCGCTGGGTTCTCAGCCCTGGACTCTGAGCTTCTGGAAGCATGGTGGAGCCTGAATTGTCTCTGAGACTCCAATTTCCATCCAAAGATGCAGCACATAGGAGGTTCCAAGGATGGTGAATCAGATGAACAAGTGATATTCTTACTCTCTGCAGATCTGGAAAGCTGGCAGAGTCATTCCACGATGAAACATTTGTAGAGTCATAGGCCTTGTTAGTCTCATCTCCACAGGGACACGTATCAACACATCATCTTTCATACTACTATAAATAGACAGTCACTCCTCCATATCTCTGGGGTTTACACATGTTTATTGAATCAGCAATAAATCAAAAATATTTTGAGAAAAAAAATCCCCGAAGTTTCAAAAAGCAAAAAACTATGTTGAATCGACACAAATTGAGTGGCGTGTAGGCTGTGTCAGGAATTATAAGTAATCAAGAGATGATTTCATGTATACAGGAGGATGTGCATGGGTTCTATGCAATTGCTATGCTATTTTTTTTTTTTTTTTGAGACAGTCTCACTCTCTCACCCAGGCTGGAGTGCAGTGGCGTGATCTCAACTCACTGCAACCTCCGCCTTCCAGGTTCAAGCGATTCTCTTCCCTCAGCCTCCCCAGTAGCCTCCCCTAGGATTACAGGCACGTGCCACCCTGCACAGATAAATTTTTTTGTGTGTATATTTTTAGTAGAGATGGGGTTTCAGAATGTTGGACCAGCTGGTCTTGAACTCCTGACCTTGTGATCTACCCAGCTCAGCCTCCCAAAGTGCTGGGATTACAGGCGTGAGCCACGGTGCCCAGCTTCACTATGCCATTTCATGCAAGGGGCTTGAGCATCTGCAGATTTTGGTATCTGAATGGGGATCCTGGAACCAATCACCCAGGTATAGTGAAGGACCATGGTATATAATTTTTATTTGTCAATCTTAAAAATAAAGCATAAAAAATTTACAACAACAAGATAAAAAATAAGAAGTGTTTTTATAGTGTGAGGATAAGTTTAGATTTATTTTTTCCTACGTGTAACCCTATGGTCCTGTGTTATTTGTTGAGAAAATATTCTATTCCACCTTAAACTACATGGCAGCCTTTGTCAACTATAAAGGGACTGTGTATCCACAGATGTATTTTAGACACAGTTTTCTGTCCAGTGGTTCTCTGTATCCCCTCTCATGAGGATGCTGCATTTTATATAAACTTATAGAACCCCTTAAAATTTGGTAACCTGAGTCCTCTGATTTGTTATTATAGGTTATTTAGTTTGCTTTTTTTTTTTTTCTTGAGACAGACTCTTCCTCTGTCACCCAAGCTGGAGTTCAGTGGCTTGAGCTCAGCTCACTGCAACCTCCGTCTCCCAGGTTCAAGCTATTCTGATGCCTCTGGTTTAGTAGTAGAAACTCAAGCAGGAAAATTAGAATGGCTTCTTGTCACAATTACTCTGATAATGTTAATAATACCTGTTAGACATTTTGCACATTACATATGAAGAAGAGTTTGAATCTCAGATAAAAACAAAAATACATCAAAAATCTTTAATGTAAGCACAGAATTCAATCATCTCGTGTATGAGAGGTTGGATCTGAGACGTCTTTTGAGTCTGGTCGTAGTGAAGGACGCAAGGTGTCAATTCTAGTGAGAACAATTTCCAGGAAGCCATGTTCCGCTCTTGAGCGAGCACCCACTGGGCCTCATGCAAGGTAGAAAGAGCCTGCGTACGTCACCCTCCCATGATGTGGTCAACATGTAAACTGCATGGGCAGGGCGCCAAATAACATCCTGTGCGCTGCTGAGCTGAGCTGGGGCGCGGCCGCCTGTCTGCACAGACAGCACCATGTCGCTCATGGTCGTCAGCATGGTGTGTGTTGGTGAGTCCTGGAAGGGCATCGAGGGAGGGAGTGCGGGGATGGAGATCGGGGCCCAGAGTTGGAGATATAGGCCTGGAAGTGGAGTTATGGGCCTAGAGATGGAGTGATGGGCCTAGAAGTGGAGATCTGGGCCTGGAGTGGAGATCTGGGCCTGGAGTGGAGATATGGGCCTGGAGGTTGAGATATGGGCCTGCAGTAGAGATATGGGCTTGTAGTGGAGACATGGGCCTGGAGATGGAGATATGGGCCTGGAGATGGAGATATGGGCCTGCAGTAGAGATAGGGGCCTGGAGTGGAGATATGGGCCTGGAGTGGAGATATGGGCCTGGAGTGGAGATATGGGCCTGGAGGTGGAGATATGGGCCTGGAGGTGGAGATATGGGCCTGGAGTGGAGATATGGGTCTGGAGGTGGAGATACGGGCCTGCAGTAGAGATATGGGCCTGGAGTGGAGATATGGGCCAGGAGTGGAGTTATGGGCCTAGAGGTGGATATCTGGGCCTGGAGTGGAGATATGGGCCTAGGAAGGAGATATGGGCCTGGGTGTGGAGATATGGGACTGGAGAGGTGATATGGGCCTGGAGTGGAGATATGGGCTTAGGGTGGAGATCTGGGCCTGGGGCGGAGATATGGGACTGGATTGGAGATAGGGGCCTAGGGTGGAGATCTGAGCCTGGATTGGCGATATGGGCCTAGGGTGGAAATATCAGCCTGGAGTGGAGATATGGGCTTGGGGTGGGGATATGGGCCTGGAAACTGGGTCTCTGCACAGCCGACAGCCCTGTTCTTGGGTGCAGGTAGGCACTGAGGGTGAGTTTAACTTCAGCCCAGGAAGGGCCTGGCTGCCAAGACTCACAGCCCAGTGGGGGCAGCAAGGGAGGCCTGGTTTGCCTGCAGATGGATGGTCCATCATGATCTTTCTTTCCAGGGTTCTTCTTGCTGCAGGGGGCCTGGCCACATGAGGGTGAGTCCTTCTCCAAACCTTCGGGTGTCATCTCCCCACATAAGAGGATTTTCCTGAAACAGGAGGGAAGTCCTGTCGGGGAGTCTCTCATAAACTAGGAAGAGAGGACCCTGGGGTGCTCAGCCCACATTTCTGACCTCGCCTCCCTGGCCTCTCAACCCCTTGGCAGAGTCAAGTTCTGTGGGGACCAGGGTTAGACTGGGGTGCTCAAAGCTGGGGTGTGTGGTTGGGAAGTGGTAGGAACAGCAGATCCTCTGAGGACAAAGGTGTTACTCACACACTTCAGCGTTTCCATGATGGTAGGGGCTGCAGTGTGGCTGCTGTCATTCTACCAGAAGAGGTGGGAAACCACAGCCATGGCCCTGACATTCCAAATCCTCTGATGGGGGCTCAGTTGTTTATTTTCGTTCAGGCATCCGCTGATATCCATTCACAAAGGACATGCCCTCCACCTCATGTCTACCCTGTGTTGTTTTATGTGAGTAATCTTACAGTATTAAAATCTAGTAGGAGTCTCTTTACTCAGCACTTGCTCAAAGTTCTCAGCTGAGGCTTTTGTTGTAGGGAGACACCATGTCTTTGCGGGATGGGTCCTTCCTTCAGCCCTGGGCACCAAGGTGTGATAGTAGCCATAGAAACGTGGAAAGCGAGGAGAATCTTCTGAGCACAGGGAGGGAAGGGCAGTTCCACATCCTCCTCTCTAAGGCGGCGCCTCCTTCTCCCCAAGGTGGTCAGGACAAGCCCTTGCTGTCTGCCTGGCCCAGCCTTGTGGTGCCTCTAGGACATGTCATTCTTCGGTGTCACTCTTATCTTGGGTTTAACAACTTCAGTCTGTACAAGGAAGGTGGGGTGCCTGTCCCTGAGCTCTACAACAGAATATTCTGGAACAGCCTTTTCATGGGCCCTGTGACCCCCGCACACACAGGGACATACAGATGTCGGGGTTCACACACACACTCCCCCAGTGGGTGGTCAGCACCCAGCAACCCCCTGGTGATCGTGGTCATAGGTCAGAGGGCTCCTGTCTTGGATTCTCCTTGTCCCACCTCCTGAATCCCAGAGCTTCTGGTGGGCATGTCCTTGAGGGTCCCATCACGCAGGCCCTGACTGTATTTGTGGTAAAGGGGGATTGAATACAGGGAAATGGGTGCTGTGGTGGGAAGAATAATTGTCCCCAGTGATGACTACATTCTAATCCCTGGAGTCTGTGACTATTTATGTTATAGGGGAAGGGACTGAAGGGGAAGATGGAGCTCATGGGGAGACAGCCTGGACTGTCCCACTGGGCTCAGTGTAATCACAAGGGTGCACATGAAAGGAGGAGGAAGAGGGGAGTGGGGATTAGAGCAGTCCAGTGGAAGTCTTCACCAGCTTTGAAGGTGGAGGAAGGCCAAGAGCCATGAATGCAGGTGGCCTATAGAGGCTGGAAAAGTCAAGGAACTGATTCTCCAGAGTCTCCAGAGGGAACAAAGCCCTGCAGATGCCTTGATTTTAGCCCAGGAAAAATAGGGTCCAATTTCTGTCTCCAGTACTGGAAGGTGTCAGTGTGGTCTCTCCTGCTGCCATGCTTCTGATAATTTTCTACAGCAGCAACAGGAAACCAACACTGGAACCCAGGTCAAGGACAAGTTAAGAAACAACCCAAGGAAAGCCAGGCATGGTGGCAGGTGCATGTAATCCTAGCGACTCAGGAGGCTGAGGGCAGGAGAATCACTTGAACCCAGGAGACAGAGGTTGCAGTGAGCCTAGACCACACCACTTCACTCCAGCCTGGGTGAAGGAGTGAGACTCTGTCTCCAAAATTAATTAATTAATTAAAGAAACCAAACAAGGAGAAGGTTGGCTACCCTGAGATCAGCAAGGGTGGGATGATGATGCCACCACCAGGCTCCATCCACATAGGGAGGGGTTGATACTCCTCCAACCAGCACCAGGAGCCAGCCTATGGAAGCTGGCACCATGGAGAAGGCACAGGCATGGCAAGAGTGGCTCCCAGTCCCCACCAGGAACAGGGTGTGTGGACACTGGTGCCTGCCTTATTCATCAGTTCATACCTTCTGCCAAGGATTGCAATTCATCCAAAAGAGATTGAACCAGGCTGATAAGAGCCTGGATGTGCAGCCTATCCTGGTTCCTCTTTCACCCCCACATAAACAGCAGGAAATACATTAGTGTGAAATAGATACAACACCCCAAGAGATGAGGCTAAGCCCAGTGGGAAGGGAATCAGAGGCTACTAGAGACAGAGGGACAGAGAAGAGGGAGGGAGACAGATGGAAGGACCTGCACCAGGAGTTAAGGGCACAGAAAAGAACATGAAGACACAGAGAGGAAGGAGAGAGACAGACACCAGCAAGGGGAAGCCTCACTCATTCTAGGTGCCATGGATGGGATGATAAAGAGAGACACCTTCTAAACTCACAACCTCTCTTCCTAGGAGTCCACAGAAAACCTTCCCTCCTGGCCCACCCAGGTCCCCTGGTGAAATCAGAAGAGACAGTCATCCTGCAATGTTGGTCAGATGTCAGGTTTCAGCACTTCCTTCTGCACAGAGAAGGGAAGTTTAAGGACACTTTGCACCTCATTGGAGAGCACCATGATGGGGTCTCCAAGGCCAACTTCTCCATCGGTCCCATGATGCAAGACCTTGCAGGGACCTACAGATGCTACGGTTCTGTTACTCACTCCCCCTATCAGTTGTCAGCTCCCAGTGACCCTCTGGACATCGTCATCACAGGTGAGAGTGTCCGGACATTCTCATTGTCATTGGGATGCAGAGTGAATGATCCACGACTTGGAACCCCCAGGTAGTTGTAAGGAAGATGAGCTTGGTATTCTTATGGAGAGAGACTGACTTGCTGAGGTTTGTACCAACAGAGACAGAGAAACAGGAGACACAAGTACAGACCAGGTGTCATAACAGAGGACAGACACAGGGGCCATACAGGGAGTTAGAAAAGACAGAAAGAGTTAAAAGAGACAGACAGACAGACATGTCCCAGAGAGAGGTGTCCCTCCATGCTGACTTTGCTCACAGACCTGGCACAGGTTAGAAGTTTCATTTCTGTTTTACCTCCACAAAGTGTTCTCTACCAGGAGAACCCAAGGACACCCATATTTATGACCTGAGTTGGGCCCTGTGGCCTCAGGCCTTGTGGCACCTACAGGCCATGTTTATTCTGACACCTCTGCCTTCCATGTAATGGAGAGTAATCGTCCCAGGATATCATGGCCCCAGAACACCAACCCCTGTATGCTGTGTGAACTTGTGGTCTCCAGACTGGATTCTGTGGCTCACATTCCAAATAACCCCACATATGAAAGGATCACTGAGAGGCACAGAGAAAAATCAGGAACACCAAAAAGCAAAGACATAAACACACAGAGAATGAGCCAGAGGAAGGAGATTGAGAGACTCACAGACACATAAAGAGAGAGAAAAGAGGGCAGAGGAGTGGTGAGAATGATGGCAGGGAGCAGAGAAAAGCACTAAAATTAGAGTCCTGAGAGAGAGGCACAAGGACATAGAAACATGGAGATGTGGGGATGAATTGCAGAGATTCCAAAGAGAGCTAGAGAGACCGAGAGGCAGAGCAAGACAGATGATAGATGGATAGATATAGATAGATGATAAATAGGTAGATGATAGATAATAGGTTAAAGATACATAGATGATGATTGATTGATTCATTAATAGATAATACATAGAGATGATGATGATGAAGACAGATAATACGTACAGATAGAGAGGCAGACAGAAATCATAGAGAGAGAGATGATACATACATATAAATAACAGATGATTGATGGATAGATAGACAAGTGATAGATACATAGATGATATATAGATATAGATGACAGGTAGAGAATCTGTAGATAGACACCGAATAGATAAATAGATAGATCGACAGATAATAGATAGAAATATGCAGAAAGTTATGAACAGGACACAACGTGAGAAACTTAGAATTTAAAAAAGTAACATCAAGTCAACCAATCCAAGGAGAGTCAGAGAGAATAAAAGAATCCAAAAAGGGAAAACATATCTAGAGGTGGGGAAGCGAGGTCAGAGACCTAGAGAGACAGAGAAGGTGGAAGAAGGAAATAGACATGAAGAGAGATGGGGTGGAGGGTGAGAGAGAGAGAGAGAGAGCATTAGGTCATAGAGCAGGGGAGTGAGTTCTCAGCTCAGGTGAAGGGAGCTGTGACAAGGAAGATCCTCCGTAAGGAAAATGCCTCTTCTCCTCCAGGTCTATATGAGAAACCTTCTCTCTCAGCCCAGCCGGGCCCCACGGTTCTGGCAGGAGAGAGCGTGACCTTGTCCTGCAGCTCCCGGAGCTCCTATGACATGTACCATCTATCCAGGGAGGGGGAGGCCCATGAACGTAGGTTCTCTGCAGGGCCCAAGGTCAACGGAACATTCCAGGCCGACTTTCCTCTGGGCCCTGCCACCCACGGAGGAACCTACAGATGCTTCGGCTCTTTCCGTGACTCTCCATACGAGTGGTCAAACTCGAGTGACCCACTGCTTGTTTCTGTCACAGGTGAGGAAACCCCATATCTGTCTCATGTCCTATGATCCTAGAGCCTTAGCTGAGGAGCTTCCTGCTGATGATGGAGAGAAGCATGGACAGATGCAGAGAGAAGACGAAGCTTGGGTGTGAGGGAGGGATCAGGGCACAGGATGGCAGACAGGGCACCTCCAAACCCTCCTACACGGCCTGCATGAAGGCCCGCGGCCAGGGCTCCAGGCACACAGGCAGATGGAGAAAACGGTCAGGAGAGACGCAGAGGAGAGAGACTGGGCTCAGTTTGGGAAGATCAGAGGTTCCCTCAGCCCCTCAACATTACCCATTTCCCAGAAGCCCATCCTGGCCTCTCACCCACACAGGGATGTCATCACCAGCAACCCCTACACCCTTTACTTTTGTTTGAAGAAATATTTATTGAGGATAAATATACCTATATAGCTTACCACCTTTAACATTTTTTTTTTTTTTGAGGCAGAGTCTAGCTCTGTCCCCTATGCTGGAGTGCAGTGGCACAATCTCAGCTCACTGCAACTTCCGCCTCCTGGGTTCAAGTGATTCTCCTGCCTCAGCCACCTGAGTAGCTGGTGCTACAGGCGCGCACCACCACGCCAGGCTACTTTTTGTATTTTTAGTAGAGAGGGGGTTTCACCATGTTGGTCGAGCTGGTCTCCAACTCCTGACCACGTGATCCACCCGCATCTGCCTCCCAAAGTGCTGGGATTACAGGCATGAGCCACCACGCCCAGCCACATTTACCATTTTTAAGTGTAAAGTCTAGTGGTCATAAATACATTTATATATATATATATATATATATATATATATATATATATATACACACACACACACATATATACATATATATATATATATATATATATATATATATTTTTTTTTTTTTTTTTTTTTTTTTTTTTTACCCTCCACCCTTTTATTCCTGGCCTCTGGAAGCCACCATTCTACTCTCTACCTTCATGAGATCCACCTTTTAGCTCTGTATATGGGTGAGAAATGGGAATCTTTGTAATGACTTCCAGTTCCATCCATGTGGCTGCAAATATCAGGATGTTATTCTTTCTATGGATGAGTAGTCTCCACTGTGCGTATGTACTACATTCTCTCTATCCATTCATCCACTGATGGGCAGGTAGGTTGACTCCACATCTTGGCTACTGTGAACAGTGCTGCACCAATCATACGAGTGCAGATATCACTTCGATATATTGATTTACTTTCCTTTGGATATAAACCCAGTAGTGAAATTGCTGGATACTATGAAAGTTCTCTTTTTAGTTATTCGTTTGTTGTTTTGTTTTTGTTTTTGAGACAGTTTCCCTCTGTGCCCAGGCTGGAGTACAAGTGAAGTCATCTTGGCTCATTGCAACCTCCGCCTCCTGGGTTCAAATGATTTTCCTGCCTCAGCCTCCCTAGTAGCTGGGATTACAGGTGCACGCCACCATGCCTGGCTACTTTTTGTTTTTTTTAGTATAGATGCGGTTTCCCCATGTTGGCTGGGCTGCTCTCAAACTCATGACCTCAACTGAGGTGCCCGCCTCGGTCTCCCAAAGTGCCGGGATTACAGGCATGATCCACCTCACCCAACCTCTTTTTAGTTCTTTAAAGGACTTCCACACTTTTCTCCGTAAAGGCTGTACTAATTTACACTCCTACCAACAGGGTATTAGGGTTCTCCTTTCTCTACCACTTTGGCAGGATTTCCTTTGCCTGTCTTGCAGCTAAAAGCCATTTTATTTTATTTCATTTTATTTTGAGATGGAGTTTCGCTCTTGTCACCCAGGCTGGAGTGCAGTGGTGCGATCTCGGCTCACCACAACCTCCACCTCCCAGGTTCAAGCGATTCTCCTGCCTCAGCCTCCCGAGTAGCTGGAATTACAGGCACACGCCACCACGCCCAACTAAATTTTGTATTTTTAGTAGAGACAGTGTTTCTCCATGTGGGTCAGACTGGTCTCAAACTCCCGACCTTATGAGATTCACCCACCTCAGGCTCTCAAAGGTCTAGGATGACAGACGTGAGCCACCACGCCCGGCCTAAAATCCATTTTAATGGGGTGAGATGAAAACTCACTTTGATTTTAATTTGTGTTTCTCTGATGATGAGTGAAACTGAGCACTTTTTAGTATGTGGGGAAATTTCATGTGTTTTGCTCCTTTTTCAATTAAATCATTTGTTTTATTGAGTTGTTTGAGCTTCTTATATTTCTAGTTATTAATCCCATCTCAGATGCATAGTTTGCACATATTTGCTCCCAATCTGTGGGTTGTCTCTTCACTTTGTTGGTTTATTTTTAGCGGTGCAGAAGTTGCTTAGTTTGAGGTAATCCCAATGGTCTATTTTTGCTTCGATTACTTGTGTTTTGAAGGTTTAAAACAAAATGTCTTCCTTCAGACAAATGTCCTGGAGCATTTCCCCAATATTTTCTTCTACGTGTTTCATAGGTTCAGGCCTTAGACTCACATCTTTAATCCATTTTCATTTGAGTTTTGTGTATAGTGACAGGTAGAGGTGCAGTTTCATTCCTCTGCATGTAGATGTCCAGGTTTCCCTGCACTGTTTATTGAAAAGACTGTCCTTTCCTGATTGTGAGTTCTTGGCACCTTTGTCAAAGTCCATTGGATGGGCTGGGCATGGTGGCTGACACCTGCAATTTCAGCACTTTGGGAGCCCAAGGCGGGTGGATCACCTGAGGCCAGGAGTTCAAGATTAGTCTGGCCGACGTGATGAAACATTGTCTCCACTAAAAATATAAAAATTAGCTGAGCATGGTGGTCAGCACCTGTAATACCACTACTCAGGAGTTTGAGGCCAGAGAATTGATTGAACCCAGGAGGCTGTGGTGGCAGTGAACCGAGATTGCACCTCTGCACTCCAGCCTGGGCGACAGAGCGAGACTCCATCTCAAAAGAAAAAAGAAAAAAACATTGGAGGTAAATGCATGGATTATATCTGTGTTCTTCATTCTGCTCCATTGTTCTACGTGCCTTTCTTTATGCCAATGTGATGCTGTTTTGCTTACTACAGCTCTGTAACATATTTTGAGATCAGGTAGTGTGATGCTCCTGTTTTCTCTTTATACCTTGAAGTCTCAAGACAGTGGGCGTCACATACAAAAATTACGGAAAAAAGGATCCCAGGACTCCCAGGGCCCAATATTAGATAACAGAGTGTTGGCCATGAACCAACCTCAAAGATTTCCATTGAGTAGAGGACAGACACCCTCATTTCCTCACCTCTCTCCTGTCTCATGTTCTAGGAAACCCTTCAAATAGTTGGCTTTCACCCACTGAACCAAGCTCCGAAACCGGTGAGTACAGAACCCTCTTATATCCGCTTTTGGAAACCTGGGGAGGTAGAAACCTTCGATGCAGGCATTGACTCAGCATCTCGCAGCTCTGACATTGTACGCCTGTCTTCTACCATCTCCGAACTCCAGATACTCCAACAGCGAAAGGGATCTGGGCCCAACCTAGGGCTCAGTGAAATCTCTTAATCTCTCATTTTATGGAGCTGAGATCTCCTACAAGCTAGAAGAATGATTGCCAATCTGACATCCTTCTCAGGAAAAATGCAATGTTTGTTCTGCCTGCATTCCTAACTGGAGGATAAATTCCTGGGGGCTTGAGAGAGGGAAGGGAAGGGAACATCTGATGAGGGCGAGGTGTTTTAGAGAAGTTCCACTTGCCAAGGAATGAATTACTGTTGGTCATGAAGCAACCCTGGCTGACTCAGCAGAGCAACAGCCTTGCCGTAACAGAGAACGGAGCTCATGCACGCACACTTCGACTCACTGACTCATTCAGCCACGGCCCCATGCTCAGGCTGTGCAGTGCGGAACCTTTTCCTATTGTTGCCATAACAAATTTCCACAAGATTCGTGGGTGAAAACAAAACGGTTTTTTAATTATCTTACAGTGCTGTAGCTCAAAGTAGGAAGTGCATCTTACTGGGCTAAAATCAAGGTGACAGCAAGGCTGCCTTCCCTCTGAGGATTCCAGGCAAGAATCTGCTTCTCACTTATCCCAGCTTCTAAAGGCTCCCAGTTCCTTGGCTCCTGTTCCCCTTCCTCCTTCCTCAAAGCCCACAAAGACTGGTCACATCTCACATGGCATCACTCAGTGCCTTCTTCCTTACCACACCTCTTTCTCTGAATGCTGCTCTCCCTTCTTCCTTATCTTTTGAAAACTTGGGGATTCTATTGGGTTCACCAAGATGAAAATCCCTCATAATCTCCTGGAAATCATCCAGGATACCCTTGTTTTAAGTTCAGCTGATTAGCAACCGCAATTCCATCTACAATCTTCATTCCTCCTTTCCATGTAAAATAACATATTCACAAGCTATGGAGGCTAGGACAGGGACATTTTGGGGTGGGACAGCATTCTCCTGCCTTCCACAAACGGTGAACAAGATGCATTTGGCCTCTGCCCTTGGGACACTGATATTGCAGATGGTTAAATGGGAGGGCAGAAAATGAATGCACAAGTGGATCTATAAATGAATGATCCATTGGGAAGCATCTGTGCATGAAATCTATTTTTTGTTTGTTCTTTTGTTTATTGAGACAGAGTCGCCCTCTGTCTTCCAGGCTACAGTGCAGTGTCACGATCTTGGCTCACTGCAACCTGCGTCTCCTGGATTCAAGTGATTCTCCTGCCTCCGCCTCTCGAGTAGCTGGGATTACAGGCAACTGCCACCGTGCCCGGCTAATTCTTTTTGTATATTTTTTGTAGAAAGGATGTTTCACCACGTTGGCCAAGCTTGTCTGAAACTCCCAACCTCAAGTGATCCGACCGTCTCAGCATGCCAAAGTAATGGGACTACAGGCGTGAGCCACTGTGCCCAGCCAGAATTCAAAATCAATAATAGATAATGCTGAGTGTATGATTTCAGGTGACAAAGAAGGTCTCTCTATTCAGATATTTGTGACATTAATGAAAAACACGGATTGAACCCCTGAAAGATTGGCGGAAGGATTTTGCACACACAGCTGTCAGCCGTGAAGGCACAAAGGTGAAAACAATCTGATGTGGAAGGAAGAGGCTCTGCCTCAAATGCTGGGAATGAGGTGGGGAGAATGACAAGACGACTGTAGGGAGACGGAGAGCACACTGGGTACACAGGAAACTAAGGAGCAACAAGGAGTGTGTGTTTGACACTCACAGCCATTGGATTCACCTCGGGGTAACCAGGAATCCCTACATGATTAATATGACGGACATGAAAATAAGGGAGGCTCAGTTGCATAACTGGAATCTAGGAGACCGTGGAAAAGGCAATTGCCGCCCCACTGGTGAAATGTGGTGCTGATTTAGACACTAAATGAATGAAGTAGATGGATATAAGATATGTTTGTGAGGTAGAATCGTTGACTGGAAAGGCTTACTGGGTTTGATTTTCCTACTTGTTTAATCCTCGCTTAATTAATTTCTTTCTGAGATTTATTCATCCTACACATAAATCAATACCTGGCAAAGGAGTGACAGATATATGAGTGGTGGTGGAAATGAAGAGACTTATTATAGCATAATATACAAGTCTGTGAACAGTGGCTCACGCCTGTAACCTAGCACTGCAGGAGGCCAAGGTGGGTGGATTCCATGAAGTCAGGAGTTCCAGACCAGCCTGGCCAACGTGGTGAAACCCTATCTCTACTAAAAATACAAAAATTAGCCGAGCACGATGGTGCATCCCTGTAATCCCAGCTCCTATTCTGGAGGATGAAGCAGGAGAACGACTTCAACCCAGTAGGTGGAGGTTGCAGTGAGTGGAGATTGCATCACTGCACTCCAGCCTGGGGGACACAAGGAGACTCTATCTCAAAAAATAAAAATAAGAAATACATAAATATAATAAAACACACACGAATGACAAAGGCACCTGAATTCCAATCATCGTTTTTCTATTTCTCTATAATTACTTCTTTGATCCTTTATCTTATCCATTAGGCAATGAGCTTAAAACCTCTTCCCTATTTGGCTTTCTGTGAGAATGAGATCACATAGAAAATGTGAAAGCCCTCAGAATCCTCCAGCACAGATCGTGGAATAGAGAAAGTGCTCTGTTCATCGCAACAAAAAACTTGCCCACTCACCCAAATCCCCCACCTCACCCCTACTTCCAATCACCTGTGGAGATTCAGATAGGCTATGGGGAGGTAAACATTGATACTCCTTGGAGTGAGTCCAGATCTTGGAATCAGAGATCAGTGCCAGCACTAGCTCCTGCTCCCCTTTCCTACTAATTCACAGGAGGACAGGTGGTATTGAAGCAATAGATGGCCGAGGGGGTGGTCCTTCCCCCAGCCTCTCAGGTAGAACAGCAGCCTAACATGTGTCTCCCGAGATCACAAAGAGTAGCACGTTTCACACGGGCTTCAACACTATTTCCTGGCCATTTGACATAAGAGAATTCTACTTAGCTTTTTTTATCTTGATTTCACTTTTGTTTCCTTTTCTTGGAGAATGCAAGTTGTTTGATTCAAGAATGCTGTGGATGTAGAAATCCTAAAGCACATTCGCTGTGTATCAATCCCAGTGCAGTCTTCCCAGAGAAGACTCTAAATACCTCCTGGACTGCACCTGGGCTTATGCCAATTCCTATCACTCACCGTCACTCCAGGGAGACAGAACACACAGAGAATACATTACACAGGCAGGTTCATTACTAACAGATAAGCAGCGAGTGACAACAGAAACCTACATTTCAATGTGAGCCAGTCCCTCAAGGCTCAGAAAAGCTCCTCGGGACATATGGAGTCACCCCATTTGCAGTGTAGCTGGGGGAAGCCAGAGAGCAGCCCAGCCTGGGTTTTGTACTGTGGAGCCACAGGAAGCACTCAGCTAAAGCACTGCATGACGTCCTCCTCCAGGAAGAACAGGAAGACAGCCCAGGCTGTTCTGAGACGTTCCTCCTGATCTCAGGACGTTGCTGTCTTAGTCCATTTTTGTTGCTCTAAAGGAACACTTGAGCCTGGGTAACTTCTAGAGAAAAGAGATTGGTTTGCCTCACAGTTCTGCAGGCTATACTGGAAGCGTGGCACCAGCATCTATTTCTCGTGACGGCCTCAGGCTGCTCCCACTCTGGCAGAAGGGAAGGAGGGTCTGTCTGTGCAGAGACCACAGAGATCACACGGCAAGAGAGGGAGCAAGGGGGAGGGGGAGCGATGGAGCTTCCAAGCTCTTTTGAACAACCAGCTCTCCAGGAACTAATAGAAGGGGAACTTGCTAACCCCGTCTCCTTGGGACAGCATTGGTCTGTTCATGATGGATCCACCTCCATGACCCAAACACCTCTCAAGAGGCCCAACCTCCCACAGTGGGGGTGAAATTTCAATGTGAGGTTTGAAGGGGTCAAACATCTCAACTAAAGTAGTTGTATCCTCAACACGTTCTATGGTTACTATGAGAGCTATAACTGAGAAAGCAGGAGAAAGCTGGGTCTCCCTCCATCTGGGTGCTTGTCCTAAAGGGGTGTTGTATGTGGTTACCTGTCAATCAAGAAATGTGAGACAATTCATAAAGAGGAACTGCTATGATTAGCTTCTTATTGGTGTCTCCTCTTCTTCCAGGTAACCCCAGACACCTGCATGTTCTGATTGGGACCTCAGTGGTCATCATCCTCTTCATCCTCCTCCTCTTCTTTCTCCTTCATCGCTGGTGCTGCAACAAAAAAAGTAAGTCTCACGAAGCAGAGGCCAGAGAGCTCAGGGCCATGTGGGGAAGCAGGATGGGAGCACTCAGGTGTGTGTTCCTCACAGACAGGATGGTCCCTGGCCCAAGGCAGCAGCCACAGAGGGAGGACTTTCTAGAGAGAGCACCAGACTCCCTGTCCCTGCCTTCAGCTCACAGACCATTGCCTGATTCTGAACTGTATCCTCATGTCCCCTGCAGCCACTCACATCCAGGAGAAGGTTCCATGACAGGCAGAAAGTGGGAGACAGAATCAATGGGATGGGAACTCAGAGCTATTCATGGGATGGGTCCTTGAGCTCAGAGAGATAGAATGTCTGAGTCTGCTGTTGGCAACTGAGGGACCTCAGGCTCCTATGGTCTCCCCCTGTATGTTGGTATCTGCTTATGAAATGAGGGCCCAGAAGTGCCCTCTGAGCTGTTTTGTTGACTTCCGTCTTCTACAGATGCTGTTGTAATGGACCAAGAGCCTGCAGGGAACAGAACAGTGAACAGGGAGGTAGGTGCTCCTCGGCCCAGCCTCGTGGCTAGTGTTATTCCCAAAGAGTCCTGGAAAATGTGAGCACCCTCCCTCACTCAGGATTTCCCTCTCTCCAGGACTCTGATGAACAAGACCCTCAGGAGGTGACATATGCACAGTTGAATCACTGCGTTTTCACACAGAGAAAAATCACTCACCCTTCTCAGAGGCCCAAGACACCCCCAACAGATATCATCGTGTACACGGAACTTCCAAATGCTGAGCCCTGATCCAAAGTTGTCTCCTGCCCATGAGCACCACAGTCAGGCCTTGAGGGGATCTTCTAGGGAGACAACAGCCCTGTCTCAAAACTGGGTTGCCAGCTCCAATGTACCAGCAGCTGGAATCTGAAGGCGTGAGTCTGCATCTTAGGGCATCGCTCTTCCTCACACCACAAATCTGAACGTGCCTCTCTCTTGCTTACAAATGTCTAAGGTCCCCACTGCCTGCTGGAGAGAAAACACACTCCTTTGCTTAGCCCACAATTCTCCATTTCACTTGACCCCTGCCCACCTCTCCAACCTAACTGGCTTACTTCCTAGTCTACTTGAGGCTGCAATCACACTGAGGAACTCACAATTCCAAACATACAAGAGGCTCCCTCTTAACACGGCACTTAGACACGTGCTGTTCCACCTTCCCTCATGCTGTTCCACCTCCCCTCAGACTAGCTTTCAGCCTTCTGTCAGCAGTAAAACTTATATATTTTTTAAAATAATTTCAATGTAGTTTTCCCTCCTTCAAATAAACATGTCTGCCCTCATGGTTTAGGTAATGGGACTCTTTTCTTGCCTAAGGCTTCCGGTGTTATCAGTACCATGTCCATATAATCCCATCTGTTCTCCACGGGGTTCTCACCTCTGGACTCTGAGCTTCTGGAAGCAGTGTGGAGCCTCATTTGTCTCTGGGACTCCAATTTCCATCCAAAGATGCAGCACATAGGAGGTTCCAAGGATCGGGAATCACATGAACAAGTGACATTGTTACTCTCTGCAGACCTGGAAAGCTGGCAGAGTCATTCCACAATGAAACATTTGTAGAGTCATAGGCCTTGTTAGTCTCATCTCCATGGGGACACATATCAACACATCATCTTTCATACTATAAATATACGGTCACTCCTCCGTATCTGTGGGGTTTACAGGTCTTTATTGAACAAAGTATAAATCAAAAATATTCAGAGAAAATATCCACAGAGTTCCAAAACTCATAACTATGTTGAATGGACACAAATGAAGCTGTGTGTAGGCTGTATCAGGAATTATAAGTAATCAAGAGATGATTTCATGTATACAGGAGGATGTGCATATGTTATTTGCAAGCGCTGTGCCATTTCATATAAGAGGCTTGAGCATCTACAGATTTTGGTATCTGAGTGGAGATCTCGAAACCAATCACCCACGAATAGTGAAGGATGACCGTATATGACTTTTATTTCTCAAATTTAAATATAAATCAAAAAATGTACAACTAGATAAAAACTAAGAAGTGTTTTTATAGTGTGAGTTAGATTTATTTTTTACTAGGTGTAACCCATTGGTTTAATATTATTTATTGAGAAGACATTCTATGCCACCTTAAACCACACGGCAGCCTTTGTCAACTCTAAAGGGACTGTGTGTACATGGATGTATTTTAGACAGTTTCTGCTAAGGGGCTGTCTGTGTCCACACTCTTGATGATGCTACACTTTATGTAGCCTTATAGAACCCTTTAAATTTAGTAGCCAGAGCCCTCTAATTTGTTATTATAGGCTATTTGCTTTTTTTTTTCTTGAGGCAGAGTCTTGCTCTGTCGCCCAGGCTGGACTGCAGTGGTGCAATCTCAGCTCACTGCAACCTCCGCCTCCCAGGTTCAAGCGATTCTCGTGCCTCAGCCTCTTGGGTAGCTGGCGTTACAAGTTCCTGCCACTGGGCACGGCTAATTTTTGGATTTTTAGCAGAGACACGGTTTCACTGTGTTGCCAGGCTGCTCTCAAACTCCTTATATCAGTTGATCCGCCCACCTCGGCTTCCCGACGTGCTGGGGGAAACTTGATTTTCTATAGCATTATGTTACTGGATATTTCTGTAAAATTTAAAATGAGGGAGGCAGAGAGACAGAGAGAGAACAAACTCCAGAGTTGGGACTCTGGAAACTTGGGTCATGAGACAAATTTTAGATAAATCTACAAAAATCCAGAGTTTAAATGTGTGGTTTTTGCTGATAACGTACAATTCAAAGATTGTAAATAATTGCATAATCCTTCCCTGGGAATTTAAATCATTTTAACTGGTTCTGCTGTAATACTAGAAATACAAGCATGAAAAATTCTAATGGTTTATTAGTCACAATGACTCTGAAAACCTTAATAATACCTATTAGATATTTTGCATATTACACATGAAGAAGAGTTTGAATCTCAGATAAAAACAATAAAAATACATGAAAAGTCTTTCACGTTAGCACAGATTTTAGGCATCTCGTGTTCAGGAGGTTGGATCTGAGACGTGTTTTGAGTTGGTCATAGTGAAGGACGCTAGGTGTAAATTCTAGTGAGAACAATTTCCAGGAAGCCGTGTTCCGCTCTTGAGCGAGCACCCACTGGGCCTCATGCAAGGTAGAATGAGCCTGCGTACGTCACCCTCCCATGATGTGGTCAACATGTAAACTGCATGGGCAGGGCGCCAAATAACATCCTGTGCGCTGCTGAGCTGAGCTGGGGCGCGGCCGCCTGTCTGCACCGGCAGCACCATGTCGCTCACGGTCGTCAGCGTGGCGTGTGTTGGTGAGTCCTGGAAGGGAATAGAGGAAGGGAGTGTGGGGTTGGAGATCTGGGCCCAGAGGTGGAGATATAGGCCTGGAGGTGGAGTTGTGGGCCTGGAGTGGAGATCTGGGCCTGGAGTGGATATATGGGCCTAGAGATGGAGTGATGGGCCTAGAAGTGGAGATCTGGGCCTGGAGTGCCGATAGGAACCTGGAGGGGAGATAGGAGCCTGGAGTGGAGACATGGGCCTGGAGGTGGAGTTATAGGCCTATAGTAGAGATATGGGCCTGGAGTGGAGATTTGGGCCAGGAGTGGAGATATGGGCCTAGAGGTGGATATCTGGGCCTAGAGTGGAAATATGGGCCTAGGATGGAGATATGGGCCTGGTTGTGGAGATATGGGACTGGAGAGGAGATATGGGCCTAGAGTGGAGATATGGGCTTGGGGTGGAGATCTGGGCCTGGGGTGGAGATATGGGCCTGGAGGTGGAGTTACGGGCCTTCAGTAGAGATATGGGCCTGGGGTGGAGATATGGGCTTGGGGTGGAGATCTGGGCCTGGAGTGGAGATATGGGCCTGGAGGTGGAGTTACTGGCCTTCAGTAGAGATATG
This sequence comes from Homo sapiens, assembly GCF_000001405.40. Taxonomy (NCBI): domain Eukaryota; kingdom Metazoa; phylum Chordata; class Mammalia; order Primates; family Hominidae; genus Homo; species Homo sapiens. The sequence continues at coordinate 57,256 of NW_016107302.1, forward strand.
GGCCTGGTGTGGAGATATGGGCCTGGATTGGAGATATGGGCCTAGGGTGGAGATCTGAGCCTGGGGTGGAGATATGGGCCTGGATTGGAGATATGGGCTTACAGTGGAGATCTTGGCCTGGATTGGCGATATGGGCCTGGATTGGCGATATGGGCCTATGATGGAAATATCGGCCTGGAGTGGAGATATGGGCCTGGAGTGGAGATACAGGCCTAGGGTGGAAATATTGGCCTGGAGTGGAGATATGGGCTTGTGGTGGGGATATGGGCTTGTGGTGGGGATCTGGGCTTGGAGGCTGGGTCTCTGCACAGCCGACAGCCCTGTTCTTGGGTGCAGGTAGGCACTGAGGGTGAGTTTAACTTCAGTCCAGGAAGGGCCTGCCTACCAAGACTCACAGCCCAGTGAGGGCAGCAAGGGTGCCCTGGTTTGCCTGCAGATGGATCGTCCATCATGATCTTTCTTTCCAGGGTTCTTCTTGCTGCAGGGGGCCTGGCCACATGAGGGTGAGTCCTTCTCCAAACCTTCGGGTGTCATCTCCCCACATAAGAGGATTTTCCTGAAACAGGAGGGAAGTCCTGTCAGGGAGCCTCTCATAAACTAGGAAGAGGGGACCCTGGGGTGCTCGGCCCACAGTTCCGACCTCGCCTCCCTGGCCTTTCATTCCCTTGGCAGAGTCAAGTTCTGTGGGGACCAGGGTTAGACTGGGGTGCTCAAAGCTGGGGTGCGTGGTGGGGAAGTGGTAGGAACAGCAGATCCTCTGAGGACAAAGGTGTTACTCACACTTCAGCGTTTCCATGACGGTAGGGGCTGCAGTGTGGCTGCTGTCACTCCACCAGAAGAGGTGGGAAACCACAGCCATGGCCCTGACATTCCAAATCCTCTGATGGGGGCTCAGTTGCTTATTTTCATTCAGGCATCTGCTGATATTCCATTCTCAAAGACATGCCCTCCACCCCATGTCTACCCTGTGTTGTTTTATGTGAGTAATCTTACAGTATTAAAATCTAGTAGGAGTCTCTTACTCAGCACTTGCTCAAAGTTCTCAGCTGACACTTTTGTTGTAGGGAGACACCTTGTGTTTGCGGGATGGGTCCTTCCTTTAGCCCTGGGCACCAAGGTGTGATAGCAGCCATAGAAACTTGGAAAGCGAGGAGAATCTTCAGAGCACAGGGAGGGAGGGGTGGCTCCACATCCTCCTCTCTAAGGCGGTGCCTCCTTCTCCCCAAGGTGGTCAGGACAAGCCCTTGCTGTCTGCCTGGCCCAGCTCTGTGGTGCCTCCAGGACATGTGATTCTTCGGTGTCATTCTTATCTTGGGTTTAACAACTTCAGTCTGTAAAAGGAAGATGGGGTGCCTGGCACTGAGCTCTACAACAGAATATTCTGGAAGAGCCTTTTCATGGGCCCTGTGACCCCAGCACACACAGGGACGTACAGATGTCGGGGTTCACACCCACACTACCCCAGTGGGTGGTCGGCACCCAGCAACACCCTGGTGATCATGGCCACAGGTCAGAGGGCTCCTGTCTTGGATTCTCCTTTCCCACCTCCTGAATCCCAGAGCTTCTGGTGGGCGTGTCCTTGAGGGTCCCATCACCCAGGCCCTGACTATATTTGGGGTAAAGGGGGATTGAATACAGGGAAATGGGTGCTGTGGTGGGAAGAATAATTGTCCCCAGTGATGACTACATTCAAATCCCTGGAGTCTGTGACTATTTATGTTATAGGGGAAGGAACTGAAGGGGAAGATGGAGCTCAGGTTGTTGATGAGTTGACCTTGAGATGGGGAGACAGCCTGGACTGTCCCGCTGGGCTCAGTGTAATCACAAGGGTCCACATGAAAGGAGGAGGAAGAGGGGAGTGGGGATTAGAGCAGCGCAATGGGAGACTCCACCAGCTTTGAAGGTGGAGGAAGGCCAGGAGCCATGAATGCAGGTGGCCTGTAGAGGTTGGAAAAGTCAAGGAAATGATTCTCCAGAGTCTCCAGAGGGAACGAAGCCCTGCAGATGCCTTGATTTTAGCCCAGGAAAAACAGGGTCCTATTTCTGTCTCCAGTAGTGAAATGGGTCAGTGTGCTCTCTCCTGCTGCCATGCTTCTGATAATTTTCTACAGCAGCAACAGGAAACCAACACTGGAACCCAGGTCAAGGACAAGGTAAGAAACAACACAAGGATAGCCGGGTGTGGTGGCAGGCGCATGTAATCCTAGCGACTTGGGAGGCTGAGGGCAGGAGAATCACTTGAACCCAGGAGACAGAGGTTGCAGTGACCCTAGACCACACCACTTCACTCCAGCTGGGGTGAAGGAGTGAGACTCTGTCTCCATAATTAATTAATTAATTAAAGGAACCAAACAAGGGGAAGGTTGGCTACACCGAGATGAGCAAGTGTGGGATGATGATGCCACCACCAGGCTCCATCCACATAGGGAGGGGTTAATACTCCTCAAACCAGCACCAGGAGCCAGCCTATGGAAGCTGGCACCATGGAGAAGGCACAGGCATGGCAAGAGTGGCTCCCAGTCCCGACCAGGAACAGGGTGTGTGGACACTGGTGCCTGCCTTATTCATCAGTTCATACCTACTGCCAAGGATTCCAATTCATCCAAAAGAGATTGAACCAGGCTGATAAGAGGCTGGATGTGCAGCCTATCCTGGTTCCTCTTTCACCCCCACATAAACAGCAGGAAAGACATTAGTGTGAAATAGATACAACACCCCAAGAGATGAGGCTAAGCCCAGTGGGAAGGGAATCAGAGGCGACTAGAGACAGAGGGACAGAGAAGAGGGAGGGAGACAGATGGAAGGACCTGCACCAGGAGTTATGGGCACAGAAAAGAACATGAAGACACAGAGAGGAAGGAGAGAGACAGACACCAGCAAGGGGAAGCCTCACTCATTCTAGGTGCCATGGATGGGATGATAAAGAGAGACACCTTCTAAACTCACAACCTCTCTTCCTAGGAGTCCACAGAAAACCTTCCCTCCTGGCCCACCCAGGTCCCCTGGTGAAATCAGAAGAGACAGTCATCCTGCAATGTTGGTCAGATGTCAGGTTTGAGCACTTCCTTCTGCACAGAGAAGGGAAGTTTAACGACACTTTGCACCTCACTGGAGAGCACCATGATGGGGTTTCCAAGGCCAACTTCTCCATCGGTCCCATGATGGAAGACCTGGCAGGGACCTACAGATGCTACGGTTCTGTTACTCACTCCCCCATCAGTTGTCAGCTCCCAGTGACCCTCTGGACATCGTCATCACAGGTGAGAGTGTCCGGACATTCTTCTCATTGTCATTGGGATGCAGAGTGAATGATCCACGACTTGGAACCCCCAGGTAGTTGTAAGGAAGATGAGCTTGGTATTCTTATGGAGAGAGACTGACTGGGTGAGGTCTGTACCAACAGAGACAGAGAAACAGGAGACACAAGTACAGACCAGGTGTCATAACAGAGGACAGACACAGGGGCCATACCGGGAGTTAGAAAAGACAGAAGGAGTTAAAGGAGACAGACAGACAGACATGTCCCAGAGAGAGGTGTCCCTCCATGCTGACTTTGCTCAGAGACCTGGCACAGGTTAGAAGTTTCATTTCTGTTTTACCTCCACAAAGTGTTCTCTACCAGGAGAACCCAAGGACACCCATATTTCTGACCTGAGTTGGGCCCTGTGGCCTCAGGCCTTGTGGCACCTACAGATGCCGTGTTTATTCTGACACCTCTGCCTTCCATGTAATGGAGAGTAACCGTCCCAGGATATCATGGCCCCAGAACACCAACTCCTGTATGCTGTGTGAACTTGTGGTCTCCAGACTGGATTCTGAGGCTCACATTCCAAATAACCCCACATATGAAAGGATCACTGAGAGGCACAGAGAGAAATCAGGGACACCAAAAAGCAAAGACATAAACACACAGAGAATGAGCCAGAGGAAGGAGATTGAGAGACTCACAGACACATAAAGAGAGAGAAAAGAGGGCAGAGGAGTGGTGAGAATGATGGAAGGGAGCAGAGAAAAGCACTAAAATTAGACTCCTGAGGGAGAGGCACAAGGACATAGAAAGATGGAGATGTGGGGATGAATTGCAGAGATTCCAAAGAGAACTAGAGAGACCGAGAGGCAGAGCAAGACAGATGATAGAAGGTTAGATATAGATAGATGATAAATAGGTAGATGATAGATAATAGGTTAAAGATACATAGATGATGATTGATTGATTCATTAATAGATGAGACATAGAGATGATGATGATGAAGACAGATAGATAATACATAGAGATAGAGAGGCAGACAGAAGTCATAGAGAGAGAGATGATACATAGATATAGATAACAGATGATTGATGGATAGATAGACAAGTGATAGATACATAGATGATATATAGACATAGATGACAGGTAGAGAATTTGTAGATAGGCACCGAATAGATAAATAGATAGATCGATAGATAATAGATAGAAATATGCAGAAAGTTATGAACAGGACACAAAGTGAGAAACTTAGAATTTAAAAAAGTAACATCAAGTCAACCAATCCAAGGAGAGTCAGAGAGAATAAAAGAATCCAAAAAGGGAAAACATATCTAGAGGTGTGGAAGCGAGGTCAGAGACCTAGAGAGACAGAGAAGGTGGAAGGAGGAAATAGACATGAAGAGAGATGGGGTGGAGGGTGAGAGACAGAGAGAGAGAGCATTAGGTCATAGAGCAGGGGAGTGAGTTCTCAGCTCAGGTGAAGGGAGCTGTGACAAGGAAGATCCTCCGTAAGGAAAATGCCTCTTCTCCTTCCAGGTCTATATGAGAAACCTTCTCTCTCAGCCCAGCCGGGCCCCACGGTTCTGGCAGGAGAGAGCGTGACCTTGTCCTGCAGCTCCCGGAGCTCCTATGACATGTACCATCTATCCAGGGAGGGGGAGGCCCATGAACGTAGGTTCTCTGCAGGGCCCAAGGTCAACGGAACATTCCAGGCTGACTTTCCTCTGGGCCCTGCCACCCACGGAGGAACCTACAGATGCTTCGGCTCTTTCCGTGACTCTCCCTACGAGTGGTCAAACTCGAGTGACCCACTGCTTGTTTCTGTCACAGGTGAGGAAAGCCCATGGCTGTCCCATGTCCTATGATCCTAGAGCCTTAGCTGAGGAGCTTCCTGCTGAGGATGGAGAGAAGGATGAACAGATGCAGAGAGAAGACGAAGCTTGGGTGTGAGGGAGGGATCAGGGCACAGGATGGCAGACAGGGCACCTCCAAACCCTCCTACATGGCCTGCATGAAGGCCTGCGGCCAGGACTCCAGGCACCCAGGCAGATGGAGAAAGCGGTCAGGAGAGACCCAGAGGAGGGAGACTGGGCTCAGTTTGGGAAGATCAGAGGTTCCCTCAGCCCCTCAACATTACCCATTTCCCAGAAGCCCATCCTGGCCTCCCACCCACACAGGGATGTCATCACCTGCAACCCCTACACCCTTTACTTTTGTTTGAGAAATATTTATTGAGGATAAATATACCTATATAGCTTACCACCTTTAACATTTTTTTTTTGAGGCGGAGTCTAGCTCTGTCCCCTATGCTGGAGTGCATTGGCACAATCTCAGCTCACTGCAACTTCCGCCTCCTGGGTTCAAGCGATTCTCTTGCCTCAGCCACCTGAGTAGCTGGTGCTACAGGCGTGCACCACCATGCCAGGCTACTTTTTGTATTTTTAGTAGAGAGGGGGTTTCACCATGTTGGTCAAGCTGGTCTGGAACTCCTGACCACGTGATCCATCCGCATCAGCCTCCCAAAGTGCTGGGATTACAGGCATGAGCCACCACGCCCAGCCACATTTACCATTTTTAAGTGTAAAGTCTAGTGGTCATAAATACATTAATATATATATATATACACATATTTTTTTTTACCCTCCACCCTTTTCTTCCTGGCCTCTGGTAGCCACCATTCTACTCTCTACCTTCATGAGATCCACCTTTTAGCTCCTGTATATGGGTAAGAAATGGGAATCTTTGTAATGACCTCCAGTTCCATCCATGTGGCTGCAAATATCAGGATGTTTTTCTTTCTATGGAAGAGTAGTCTCCACTATGCAAATGTACCACATTCTCTCTATCCATTCACCCACTGATGGGCAGGTAGGTTGACTCCTCATCTTGGCTACTGTGAAGAGTGCTGCACCAATCATACGAGTGCAGATATCACTTCGATATATTGATTTACTTTCCTTTGGATATAAACCCAGTAGTGAAATTGCTGGATACTATGAAAGTTCTCTTTTTAGTTTTTCGTTTGTTGTTTTGTTTTTGTTTTTGAGACAGTTTCCCTCTGTGCCCAGGCTGGAGTACAAGTGATGTCATCTTGGCTCATTGCAACCTCTGCCTCCTGGGTTCAAATGATTTTCCTGCCTCAGCCTCCCTAGTATCAGGGATTATAGGCGCACGCCACCATGCCTGGCTACTTTTTGTTTTTTTTAGTATAGATGCGGTTTCCCCATGTTGGCTGGGCTGCTCTCAAACTCATGACCTCAACTGAGGTGCCCGCCTCGGTCTCCCAAAGTGCCGGGATTACAGGCATGATCCACCTCACCCAACCTCTTTTTAGTTCTTTAAAGGACTTCCACACTTTTCTCCGTAATGGCTGTACTAATTTACACTCCTACCAACAGGATACCAGGATTCTCCTTTCTCTAACACCTTGCCAGCATTTCTTTTGCCTGTCTTGCAGCTAAAAGCCATTTTATTTTATTTCATTTTATTTTGAGATGGAGTTTCGCTCTTGTCACCCAGGCTGAGTGCAGTGGTGCGATCTCGGCTCACCACAACCTCCACCTCCCAGGTTCAAGCGATTCTCCTGCCTCAGCCTCCCGAGTAGCTGGAATTACAGGCACACGCCACCACGCCCGACTAATTTTTGTATTTTTAGTAGAGACAGTGTTTCTCCATGTGGGTCAGACTGGTCTCAAACTCCCGACCTTATGAGATTCACCCACCTCAGGCTCTCAAAGTTCTAGGATGACAGACGTGAGCCACCACGCCCGGCCTAAAAGCCATTTTAATGGGGTGAGATGAAAACTCACTTTGATTTTAATTTGTGTTTCTCTGATGATGAGTGATACTGAGCACTTTTTCGTATGTGGGGAAATTTCATGTCTTTTGCTCCTTTTTCAATTAAATCATTTGTTTTATTGAGTTGTTTGAGCTTCTTATATTTCTAGTTATTAATCCCATCTCAGATGCATAGTTTGCACATATTTGCTCCCAATCTGTGGGTTGTCTCTTCACTTTGTTGGTTTATTTTTAGCGGTGCAGAAGTTGCTTAGTTTGAGGTAATCCCAATGGTCTATTTTTGCTTCGATTACTTGTGTTTTGAAGGTTTAAAACAAAATGTCTTCCTTCAGACAAACGTCCTGGAGCATTTCCCCAATATTTTCTTCTACGTGTTTCATAGGTTCAGGCCTTAGACTCACATCTTTAATCCATTTTCATTTGATTTTTGTGTATAGTGACAGGCAGAGGTGCAGTTTCATTCCTCTGCATGTAGATGTCCAGGTTTCCCTGCACTGTTTATTGAAAAGACTGTCCTTTCCTGATTGTGAGTTCTTGGCACCTTTGTCAAAGTCCATTGGATGGGCTGGGCATGGTGGCTGACACCTGCAATTTCAGCACTTTGGGAGCCCGAGGTGGGTGGATCACCTGAGGCCAAGAGTTCAAGATTAGTCTGGCCAACGTGATGAAACATCGTCTCCACTAAAAATATAAAAATTAGCTGAGCATGGTGGTCAGCACCTGTAATACCACTACTCAGGAGTTTGAGGCAAGAGAAGTGATTGAACCCAGGAGGCTGTGGTGGCAGTGAACCGAGATTGCACCTCTGCACTCCAGCCTGGGTGACAGAGCAAGACTCCATCTCAAAAGAAAAACAAAAAATACATTGGAGGTAAATGCATGGATTATATCTGTGTTATTCATTCTGCTCCGTTGTTCTATGTGCCTTTCTTCATGCCAACGTCATGCTGTCTTGCTTACTACAGCTCTGTAACATATTTTGAGATCAGGTAGTGTGATGCTCCTGTTTTCTCTTTATACCTTGAAGTCTCAAGACAGTAGCCGTCACATACAAAAATTACGGAAAAAAGGATCCCAGGACTCCCAGGGCCCAATATTAGATAACAGAGTGTTGGCCATGAACCAACCTCAAAGATTTCCACTGAGTAGAGGACAGACACCCTCATTTCCTCACCTCTCTCCTGTCTCGTGTTCTAGGAAACCCTTCAAATAGTTGGCCTTCACCCACTGAACCAAGCTCCAAAACCGGTGAGTACAGAACCCTCTTATATCCGCTTTTGGAAACCTGGGGAGGTGGAAACCTTGGATTCAGGCGTTGACTCAGCATCTCACAGCTCTGACATTGTACGCCTGTCTTCTACCATCTCCGAACTCCAGATACTCCAACAGCGAAAGGGATCTGGACCCAAAACAGGGCTCAGTGAAATCTCTTAATCTCTCATTTTATGGAGCTGAGATCTCCTACAAGCTAGAAAAATGATTGGCAATCTGACATCCTTCTCAGGAAAAATGCAATGTTTGTTCTGCCTGCATTCCTAACTGGAGGATAAATTCCTGGGGGCTTGAGAGAGGGAAGGGTAGGGAACATTTGATGAGGGCAAGGTGTTTTAGAGAAGTTCCACTTGCCCAGGAATGAATTACTGTTGGTCATGAAGCAACCCTGGCTGACTCAGCAGAGCAAGAGCTTTGCCTTAACAGAGAACGGAGCTCATGCACGCACACTTCGACTCACTGACTCATTCAGCCACGGCCCCATGCTCAGGCCGTGGAAAAGGCAATTCCCAGCACTGCAGGAGGCCAAGGCGGGTGGATCACTTGAAGTCAGGAGTTCCAGACCAGCCTGGCCAAAATGGTGAAACCCTGTCTCTATGAAAAATACAAAAATTAGCCGAGCATGGTGGTGCATCCCTGTAATCCCAGCTCCTACTCTTGAGGATGAAGCAGGAGAACAACTTCAACCCAGGAGGTGGAGGTTGCAGTGAGTGGAGATTGCATCACTGCACTCCAGCCTGGGTGACACAAGGAGACTCCGTCTCAAAAAATAAAAATAAGAAATGCATAAATATAATAAAACACACACGAATGACAAAGGCACCTGAATTCCAATCATCATTTTTCTATTTCTCTATAATTACTTCTTTGATCCTTTGTCTTATCCATTAGGCAATGAGCCTAAAACCTCTTCCGTATTTGGCTTTCTGTGAGCATGAGACCATATAGAAAATGTGAAAGCCCGCTGAATCCTCCAGCACAGATCGTGGAATAGAGAAAGTGCTCTGTTCATCACAAAAAAAACTTGCCCTCTCACTCAAATCCCCCACTTCACCCCTACTTCCAATCACCTGTGGAGATTCAGATAGACCATGGGGAGGTAAACATTAATACTCCTTGGAGTGAGTCCAGATCTTGGAATGAGAGATCAGCACCAGCACTAGCTCCTGCTCCCCTTTCCTACTAATTCACAGGAGGACAGGTGGTATTGAAGCAATAGATGGTGGAGGGGGTGGTCCTTCCCCCAGCCTCTCAGGTAGAACAGCAGCCTAACATGTGTCTCCCGAGATCACAAAGAGTAGGACGTTTCACAGGGGCTTCAACACGATTTCCTGGCTGTTGGACATAAGATAACTCTATTTCGCTTTTTTATCTTGATTTCACTTTTGTTTCCTTTCCTTGGAGAACGCAAGTTGTTTGACTCAAGAATGCTGTGGATGTAGAAATCCTAAAGCACATTCGCTGTGTGTCAATCCCAGTGCAGTCTTCCCAGAAAAGACCCTAAACACCTCCTAGACTGCACCTGGGCCTACGCCAATTCCTATCACTCACCGTCACTCCAGGGAGACAGAACACACAGAGAATACGTTACATAGGCAGGTTCATTACTAACAGATAAGCAGCGAGTGAAAACAGAAGCCTACATTTCAATGTGAGCCAGTCCCTCAAGGCTCAGAAAAGCTGCTCGGGACATATGGAGTCACCCCATTTGCAGTGTAGCTGGGGGAAGCCAGAAAGCAGCCCAGCCTGGGTTTTGTACCCTGGAGCCACAGGAAGCACTCAGCTAAAGCACTGCATGACGTCCTCCTCCAGGAAGAACAGGAAGACAGCCCAGGCTGCTCTGGGACGTTCCTCCTGATCTCAGGACGTTGCTGTCTTAGTCCATTTTTGTTGCTCTAAAGGAACACTTGAGCCTGGGCAACTTCTAAAGAAAAGAGATTGGTTTGCCTCACCGTTCTGCAGGCTGTACTGGAAGCATGGCACCAGCATCTATTTCTCGTGATGGCCTCAGGCTGCTCCCACTCTGGCAGAAGGGAAGGAGGGTCTGTCTGTGCAGAGACCACAGAGATCACACGGCAAGAGAGGGAGCAAGGGGGAGGGGGAGCGATGGAGCTTCCAAGTTCTTTTGAACAACCAGCTCTCTGGGAACTAATAGAGGGGGAACTAGCTAACCCCGTCTCCTTGGGACAGCATTGATCTGTTCATGATGGATCCACCTCCATGACCCAAACACCTCTCAAGAGGCCCAACCTCCCACAATGGGGGTGAAATTTCAATGTGAGGTTTGAAGGGGTCAAACATCTCAACTAAAGTAGTTGTATCCTCAGCACATTCTATGGTTACTTTGAGAGCTATAACTGAGAAAGCAGGAGAAAGCTGGGTCTCCCGCCATCTGGGTGCTTGTCCTAAAGAGGTGTTTTACGTGGTTACCTGTCAATCAAGAAATGCGAGACAATTCATAAAGAGGAACTGCTATGATTAGCTTCTTATTGGTGTCTCATCTTCTTCCAGGTAACCCAAGACACCTGCACGTTCTGATTGGGACCTCAGTGGTCATCATCCTCTTCATCCTCCTCCTCTTCTTTCTCCTTCATCGCTGGTGCTCCAACAAGAAAAGTAAGTCTCACGAAGGAGAGGCCAGAGAGCTCAGGGCCATGTGGGGAAGCAGGATGGGAGCACTCAGGTGTGTGTTCCTCACAGGTAGGATGGTCCCTGGCCCAAGGCAGCAGCCACAGAGGCAGGACTTTCTAGAGAGGGCACCAGACTCCCTGTCCCTGCTTTCAGCTCACAGACCGTTGCCTGATTCTGAACTGTATCCTCATGTCCCCTGCAGCCACTCACATCCAGGAGAAGGTTCCATGACAGGCAGAAAGTGGGAGACAGAATCAATGGGATGGGAACTCAGAGCTATTCATGGGATGGGTCCTTGAGCTCAGAGAGATAGAATGTCTGAGTCTGCTGTTGGCAACTGAGGGACCTCAGGCACCTATGGCCTCCCCCTGTTTGTTGGTATCTGCTTATGAAATGAGGACCCAGAAGTGCCCTCCGAGCTCTTTTGTTGACTTCCGTCTCCTACACATGCTGCTGTAATGGACCAAGAGCCTGCAGGGAACAGAACAGCGAATAGCGAGGTAGGTGCTCCTCGGCCCAGCCTCGTGGCTAGTGTTATTCCCAAACAGTCCTGGAAAACGTGAGCACCCTCCCTCACTCAGCATTTCCCTCTCTCCAGGACTCTGATGAACAAGACCCTCAGGAGGTGACATACGTACAGTTGGATCACTGCGTTTTCACACAGAGAAAAATCACTCGCCCTTCTCAGAGGCCCAAGACACCCCCAACAGATACCAGAGTGTACACGGAACTTCCAAATGCTGAGTCCAGATCCAAAGTTGTCTCCTGCCCATGAGCACCACAGTCAGGCCTTGAGGGGATCTTCTAGGGAGACAACAGCCCTGTCTCAAAACCGGGTTGCCAGCTCCCATGTACCAGCAGCTGGAATCTGAAGGCGTGAGTCTGCATCTTAGGGCATCGCTCTTCCTCACACCACAAATCTGAATGTGCCTCTCTCTTGCTTACAAATGTCTAAGGTCCCCACTGCCTGCTGGAGAGAAAACACACTCCTTTGCTTAGCCCACAATTCTCCATTTCACTTGACCCCTGCCCACCTCTCCAACCTTACTGGCTTACTTCCTAGTCTACTTGAGGCTGCAATCACACTGAGGAACTCACAGTTCCAAACATACAAGAGGCTCCCTCTTAACACGGCACTTAGACACGTCCTGTTCCACCTTCCCTCATGCTGTTCCACCTCCCCTCAGAGTATCTTTCAGCCTTCTGTCAGCAGTAAAACTTATATATTTTTTAAAATAATTTCAATGTAGTTTTCCCTCCTTCAAATAAACATGTCTGCCCTCATGGTTTCGGTAATGGGACTCTTTTCTTGCCTAAGACTTCCAGTGTTATCATTACCATGTCCACATAACCCCATCTGTTCTCCACTGGGTTCTCACCCCCGGACTCTGAGTTTCTGGAAGCAGGGTGGAGCCTCATTTGTCTCTGGGACTCCTATTTCCATCCAAAGATGTAGCACATAGGAGGTTCCAAGGATCGTGAATCACATGAACAAGTGATATTCTTACTCTCTGCAGACCTGGAAATCTGGCAGAGTCATTCCAAGATGAAACATTTGTAGAGTCATAGGCCTTGTTAGTCTCATCTACACAGGGACACATATCAACACATCATCTTTCACACTATAAATATACAGTCACTCCTCCATATCTGTGGGGTTTACAGTTCTTTATTGAACCGAGTATAAATCAAAAATATTCAGAGAAAGTATCCACAGAGTTACAAAAAGCAGAACTGTGTTGAATGGACACAAATGAAGCTGTGTGTAGGCTGCATCAGGAATTATAAGTAATCTAGAGATGATTTCATGTATACAGGAGGATGTGCATAGGTTATTTGCAAACTCTGTGCCATTTCATATAAGAGGCTTGAGCATCTACAGATTTTGGTATCTGAGTGGAGATCTCGAAACCAATCACCCAGGAATAGTGAAGGATGACCGTATATGACTTTTATTTCTCAAATTTAAATATAAATCATAAAAAATGTACAACTAGATAAAAACTAAGAAGTGTTTTTATAGTGTGAGTTAGATTTATTTTTTCCTAGGTATAACCCATTGGTTTAATATTATTTATTGAGAAGACATTCTATGCCACCTTAAACCACACGGCAGCCTTTGTCAACTCTAAAGGGACTGTGTGTACACGGATGTACTTTAGACACTGTTTCTGCTAAGGGGCTCTCTGTGTCCACACTCTTGATGATGCTGCACTTTATGTAGCCTTATAGAACCCTTTAAATTTAGTAGCCAGAGCTCTCTAATTTGTTATTATAGGCTATTTGCTTTTTTTTCTTGAGGCGGAGTCTTGCTCTGTCGCCCAGGCTGGACTGCAGTGACACAATCTCAGCTCACTGCAACTTCTGCCTCCCAGGTTCAAGCGATTCTCGTGCCTCAGCCTCTTGAGTAGCTGGCGTTACAGGTGCCTGCCACCAGGCACGGCTAATTTTTGGATTTTTAACAGAGACACGGTTTCACTATATTGGCCAGGCTGCTCTCAAACTCCTTATCTCAGTTGATCCGCCCACCTCGGCTTCCCAACGTGCTGGGGAAACTTGATTTTCTATAGCATTATGTTACTGGATATTTCTGTAAAATTTAAAATGAGGGAGGGAGAGAGACAGACGGAAAACAAACTCCAGAGTTGGGACTCTGGAATCTTGGGTCATGAGACAAATTTTAGATTAAACTACAAAACTCCAGAATTTACAGGTGGGGTTTTTACTGATAAAGTACAATTCTAAGATTGTAAATAATTGCATAATCCTTCCCTGGGAATTTAAATCATTTTAACTGGTTCTGCTGTAATACTAGAAATACAAGCATGAAAAATTCTAATGGTTTGTTAGTCACAATGACTCTGAAAACATTAATAATACCTATTAGATATTTTGCATATTACACAGGAAGAAGAGTTTGAATCTCAGATAAAAACAATAGAAATACATGAAAAGTCTTTCATGTTAGCACAGATTTTAGGCATCTCGTGTTCGGGAGGTTGGATCTCAGACGTGTTTTGAGTTGGTCATAGTGAAGGACACTAGGTGTCAAATTCTAGCGAGAACAATTTCCAGGAAGCCGTGTTCCGCTCTTGAGCGAGCACCCACTGGGCCTCATGCAAGGTAGAAAGAGCCTGCGTACGTCACCCTCCCATGATGTGGTCAACATGTAAACTGCATGGGCAGGGCGCCAAATAACATCCTGTGCGCTGCTGAGCTGAGCTCGGTCGCGGCTGCCTGTCTGCTCCGGCAGCACCATGTCGCTCTTGTTCGTCAGCATGGCGTGTGTTGGTGAGTCCTGGAAAGCAATAGAGGGAGGGAGTGAGGGGATGGAGATCTGGGCCCAGAGGTGGAGATATAGGCCTGGAGGTGGAGTTATGGGCCTGGAGTGGAGATCTGGGCCTGGAGTGGATATATGGGCCTAGAGATGGAGTGATGGGCCTAGAAGTGGAGATCTGGGCCCAGAGGTCGAGATATAGGCCTGGAGGTGGAGTGATGGGACTGTAGTGGAGATCTGGGCCTGGAGTGGAGATAGGAACCTGGAGGGGAGATAGGAACCTGGAGGGGAGATATGGGCCTGGAGGTGGAGATATGGGCCTGGAGTGGAGTCATGGGCCTGGAGGTGGAGTTACGGGCCTGCAGTAGAGATATGGGCCTGAAGTGGAGACATGGGCCTGGAGTGGAGATATGGGCCAGGAGTGGAGATATGGGCCTAGAGGTCGATATCTGGGCCTGGAGTGGAGATATGGGCCAGGAGTGGAGATATGGGCCTAGAGGTCGATATCTGGGCCTGGAGAGGAGATATGTGCCTAGGATGGAGATACGGGCCTGGGTGTGGAGATATGGGACTGGAGAGGATATATGGGCCTGGAGTGGAGATATGGGACTGGAGAGGAGATATGGACCTGGAGTGGAGATAAGGGCCTGGATTGGAGATATGGGCCCAGGGTGGAGATCTGAGCCTGGATTGGAGATATGGGCCTGGATTGGCGATATGGGCTTAGGGTGGAAATATCGGCCTGGAGTGGAGATATGGGCCTGGAGTGGAGATATGGGCTTGAGGTGGGGATATGGACCTGGAGGCTGGGTCTCTGCACAGCCGACAGCCCTGTTCTTGGGTGCAGGTAGGCACTGAGGGTGAGTTTACCTTCAGCCCAGGAAGGGCCTGGCTACCAAGACTCACAGCCCAGTGGGGGCAGCAAGGGTGCCCTGGTTTGCCTGCAGATGGGTCATCCATCATGATCTTTCTTTCCAGGGTTCTTCTTGCTGCAGGGGGCCTGGCCACATGAGGGTGAGTCCTTCTCCAAACCTTCGGGTGTCATCTCCCCACATAAGAGGATTTTCCTGAAATGGGAGGGAAGTCCTGTCAGGGAGTCTCTCATAAACTAGGAAGAAGGGACCCTGGGGTGCTGGGCCCACATTTCTGACCTTGCCTCCCTGGCCTTTCATTCCCTTGGCAGAGTCAAGTTCTGTGGGGACCAGGGTTAGACTACGGTGCTCAAAGCTGGGGTGTGTGGTGGGGAAGTGGTAGGAACAGCAGATCCTCTGAGGACAAAGGTGTTACTCACACACTTCAGCGTTTCCATGACGGTAGGGGCTGCAGTGTGGCTGCTGTCATTCTACCAGAAGAGGTGGGAAAACCACAGCCATGGCCCTGACATTCCAATCCTCTGATGGGGACTCAGTTGTTTATTTTCGTTCAGGCATCGGCTGATATTCCATTCTCAAAGGACATGCCCTCCACCCCATGTCTACCCTGTGTTGTTTTATGTGAGTAATCTTACAGTATTAAAATCTAGTAGGAGTCTCTTACTCAGCACTTGCTCAAAGTTCTCAGCTGACACTTTTGTTGTAGGGAGACACCTTGTGTTTGCGGGATGGGTCCTTCCTTTAGCCCTGGGCACCAAGGTGTGATAGCAGCCATAGAAACTTGGAAAGCGAGGAGAATCTTCAGAGCACAGGGAGGGAGGGGCGGCTCCACATCCTCCTCTCTAAGGCGGTGCCTCCTTCTCCCCACGGTGGTCAGGACAAGCCCTTGCTGTCTGCCTGGCCAAGCCCTGTGGTGCCTCCAGGACATGTGATTCTTCAGTGTCATTCTTATCTTGGGTTTAACAACTTCAGTCTGTAAAAGGAAGATGGGGTGCCTGTCCCTGAGCTCTACAACATAATATTCTGGAACAGCCTTTTCATGGGCCCTGTGACCCCAGCACACGCAGGGACCTATACATGTCGGGGTTCACAACCACACTACCCCAGTGGGTGGTCGGCACCCAGCAACCCCCTGGAGATCACGGTCACAGGTCAGAGGGCTCCTGTCTGGGATTCTCCTTGTCCCACCTCCTGAATCCCAGAGCTCCTGGTGGGCGTGTCCTTGCGGGTCCCATCATGCAAGTCCTGACTGTATTTGGGGTAAAGGGGGATTGAATACAGGGAAATGGGTGCTGTGGTGGGAAGAATAATTGTCCCCAGTGATGACTACATTCTAATCCCTGGAGTCTGTGACTATTTATGATATAGGGGAAGGGACTGAAGGAGAAGATGGAGCTCAGGTTGTTGATGAGTTGACCTTGAGATGGGGAGACAGCCTGGACTGTCCTGATGGGCTCAGTGTAGTCACAGGGGTCCACATGAAAGGAGGAGGAAGAGGGGAGTGGGGATTACAGCAGCGCAATGGGAGACTCCACCAGCTTTGAAGGTGGAGGAAGTCCAGGAGCCATGAATGCAGGTGGCCTATAGAGGCTGGAAAAGTCAAGGAACTGATTCTCCTGAGTCTCCAGAGGGAACGAAGCCCTGCAGGTGCCTTGATTTTACCCACGACAAACAGGGTCCGATTTCTGTCTCCAGAATTGGAAGGGGTTAGTGTGCTCTCTCCTGGTGCCATGCTTCTGATAATTTTCTACAGCAGCAACAGGAAACCAACACTGGAACCCAGGTCAAGGACAAGTTAAGAAACAACACAAGGATAGCCAGGCATGGTGGCAGGTGCATGTAATCCTAGCGACTTGGGAGGCTGAGGGCAGGAGAATCACTTGAACCCAGGAGACAGAGGTTGCAGTGAGCCTAGACCACACCACTTCACTCCAGCCTGGGCAAAGGAGTGAGACTCTGTCGCCAAAATTAATTAATTAATTAAAGAAACCAAACAAGGAGAAGGTTGGCTACACTGAGATCAGCAAGGCTCAGATGATGATGCCACCACCAGGCTCCATCCACATAGGGAGCGGTTGATACTCCTCCAACCAGCACCAGGAGCCAGCCTATGGAAGCTGGCACTGGCATGGCAAGAGTGGCTCCCAGTCCCTACCAGGAACAGGGTGTGTGGCCACTGGTGCCTGCCTTACTGATCAGTTCATACCTCCTGCCAAGGATTCCAATTCGTCCAAAAGAGATTGAACCAGGCTGCTAAGAGCCTGGATGTGCAGCCTATCCTGGTTCCTCTTCCACCCCCACATAGACAGCAGGAAAGACATTAGTTCGAAATAGATACAACAGCCCAAGAGATGAGGCTGAGCCCAGCGGCAAGGGAATCAGAGGCTACTAGAGACAGAGGGACAGAGAAGAGTGAGGGAGACAGATGGAAGGACCTGCACCAGGAGTTATGGGCACAGAAAAGAACATGAAGACACAGAGAGGAAGGAGAGAGATAAGACACCAGGAAGGGGAAGCCTGACTCAATCCAGGTGCCATGGATGGGATGATAAAGAGAGACACCTTCTAAACTCACAACCTCTCTTCCTAGGAGTCCACAGAAAACCTTCCCTCCTGGCCCACCCAGGTCCCCTGGTGAAATCAGAAGAGACAGTCATCCTGCAATGTTGGTCAGATGTCATGTTTGAACACTTCCTTCTGCACAGAGAGGGGATGTTTAACGACACTTTGCGCCTCATTGGAGAACACCATGATGGGGTCTCCAAGGCCAACTTCTCCATCAGTCGCATGACGCAAGACCTGGCAGGGACCTACAGATGCTACGGTTCTGTTACTCACTCCCCCTATCAGGTGTCAGCTCCCAGTGACCCTCTGGACATCGTGATCATAGGTGAGAGTGTCCAGACTTTCTTCTCATTGTCATTGGGATGCAGAGTGAATGATCCAGGAATTGGAGACCCAGGTGGCTGTAAGGAAGATGAGCTTGGTATTCTTATGGAGAGAGACTGACTTGGTGAGGTCTGTGCCAACAGAGACAGAGAAACAGGAGACACAAGTACAGACCAGGTGTCATAACAGAGAACAGACACAGGGGCCATACCGGGAGTTAGAAAAGACAGAAAGAGTTAAAGGAGACACACAGACAGACATGTCCCAGAGAGAGGTGTCCCTCCATGCTGACTTTGCTCAGAGACCTGGCACAGGTTAGAAGTTTCATTTCTGTTTTACCTCCACAAAGTGTTCTCTACCAGGAGAACCCAAGGACACCCATATTTCTGACCTGAGTTGGGCCCTGTGGCCTCAGGCCTTGTGGCACCTACAGATGCCATGTTTATTCTGACACCTCTGCCTTCCATGTAATGGAGAGTAATCGTCCCAGGATATCATGGCCCCACAACACCAACCCCTGTATGCTGTGTGAACTTGTAGTCTCCAGACTGGATTCTGAGGCTCATATTCCAAATAAGCCCACTTATGAGAGGATCAGTGGGAGGCACAGAGAGAAATCAGGGACACCAAAAAGCAAAGACATAAACACACAGAGAATGAGCCAGAGGAAGGAGATTGAGAGACTCACAGACACATAAAGAGAGAGAAAAGAGGGCAGAGAAGTGAGAATGATGGAAGGGAGCAGAGAAAAGCACTAAAATTAGACTCCTGAGGGAGAGGCACAAGGACATTGAAAGATGGAGATGTGGGGATGAATTGCAGAGATTCCAAAGAGAACTAGAGAGACCGAGAGGCAGAGCAAGACAGATGATAGATGGATAGATATAGATAGATGATAAATAGGTAGATGATAGATAATAGGTTATAGATACATAGATGATGATTGATTGATTCATTAATAGATGAGACATAGAGATGATGATGATGAAGACAGATAGATAGATAATACATAGAGATACAGAGGCAGACATAGAGAAATCATAGAGAGAGAGAGATGATACATAGATATAGATAATAGATGATTGATGGATAGATAGACAATTGATGGATAAATAGATGATATATAGATATAGATGACAGGTAGAGAATTTGTAGATAGGCACCGAATAGATAAATAGATAGATCGATAGATAATAGATAGAAATATGCAGAAAGTTATGAACAGGACACAAAGTGAGAAACTCAGAATTAAAAAAAGTAACATCAAGTCAACCAATCCAAGGAGAGTCAGAGAGAATAAAACAATCCAAAAAGAGAAAACATATCTAGAGGTGGGGAAGTGAGGTCAGAGACCTAGAGAGACAGAGAAGGTGGAAGGAGGAAATAGACATGAAGAGCGATGGGGTAGAGGGTGAGAGAGAGAGAGAGAGAGCATTAGGTCATAGAACAGGGGAGTGAGTTCTCAGCTCAGGTGAAGGGAGCTGTGACAAAGAAGATCCTCCCTGAGGAAACTGCCTCTTCTCCTTCCAGGTCTATATGAGAAACCTTCTCTCTCAGCCCAGCCGGGCCCCACGGTTCTGGCAGGAGAGAATGTGACCTTGTCCTGCAGCTCCCGGAGCTCCTATGACATGTACCATCTATCCAGGGAAGGGGAGGCCCATGAACGTAGGCTCCCTGCAGGGCCCAAGGTCAACGGAACATTCCAGGCTGACTTTCCTCTGGGCCCTGCCACCCACGGAGGGACCTACAGATGCTTCGGCTCTTTCCATGACTCTCCATACGAGTGGTCAAAGTCAAGTGACCCACTGCTTGTTTCTGTCACAGGTGAGGAAAGCCCATGGCTGTCCCATGTCCTATGATCCTAGAGCCTTAGCTGAGGAGCTTCCTGCTGAGGATGGAGAGAAGCATGGACAGATGCAGAGAGAAGACGCAGCCTCGGTGTGAGGGAGGGATCAGGGCACAGGATGGCCGACAGGGCACCTCCAAACCCTCCTACATGGCCTGCATGGAGGCCCACGGCCAGGGCTCCAGGCACCCAGGCAGATGGAGAAAGCGGTCAGGAGAGACCCAGAGGAGGGAGACTGGGCTCAGTTTGGGGAGATCAGAGGTTCCCTCAGCCCCTCAACCTTACCCATTTCCCAGAAGCCCATCCTGGCCTCTCACCCACACAGAGATGTCATCACCAGCAACCCCTACACCCTTTACTTTTCTTTGAAGAAATATTTATTGAGGATAAATATACCTATATAGCTTACCACTTTTAACATTTTTTTTTGAGGTGGAGTCTAGCTCTGTCCCCTATGATGGAGTGCAGTGGCACAATCTCAGCTCACTGCAACCTCCGCCTCCTGGGTTCAAGCGATTCTCCTGCCTCAGCCACCTGAGTAGCTAGTGCTACAGGCACGCACCACCACGCCAGGCTACTTTTTGTATTTTTAGTAGAGAGGTGGTTTCACCATGTTGGTCGAGCTGGTCTCGAACTCCTGACCACGTGATCCACCCGCATCAGCCTCCCAAAGTGCTGGGATTACAGGCATGGGCCACCAGGCCCAGCCACATTTACCATTTTTAAGTGTAAAGTCTAGTGGTCATAAATACATTTTTATATATATATATATATACATTTTTTTTACCCTCCACCCTTTTCTTCCTGTCCTCCAGTAGCCACCATTCTACTCTCTACCTTCATGAGATCCACCTTTTAGCTCCTGTATATGGGTGAGAAATGGGAATCTTTTTAATGACCTCCAGTTCCATCCATGTGGCTGCAAATGACAGGATGTTATTCTTTCTATGGATGAGTAGTCTCCACTGTGCGTATGTACTACATTCTCTCTATCCATTCACCCACTGATGGGCAGGTAGGTTGACTCCTCATCTTGGCTACTGTGAACAGTGCTGCACCAATCATACGAGTGCAGATATCACTTCGATATGTTGATTTACTTTCCTTTGGATATAAACCCAGTAGTGAAATTGCTGGATACTATGAAAGTTCTCTTTTTTTTTTTTTTTTTCTTTTTTGAGAAAGAGTTTCCCTCCTTAGCCCAAGCTGGAGTCAAAGTGGTGCAACCTTGGCTCATTGCAACCTCCGCCTCCTGGGTTCAAATGATTTTCCTGCCTCAGCCTCCCTAGTAGCTGGGATTACAGGTGCACACCACCATGCCTGGCTACTTTTTGGTTTTTTTAGTATAGATGCGGTTTCCCCATGTTGGCTGGGCTGCTCTCAAACTCATGACCTCAACTGAGGTGCCCGCCTCAGTCTCCCAAAGTGCCGGGATTACAGGCATGATCCACCTCACCCAACCTCTTTTTAGTTCTTTAAAGGACTTCCATACTTTTCTCCGTAATGGCTGTACTAATTTACACTCCTCCCAACAGGGTACCAGGGTTCTCCTTTCTCTACCACCTTGCCAGCATTTCTTTTGCCTGTCTTGCAGCTAAAAGCCATTTTATTTTATTTCATTTTATTTTGAGATGGAGTTTTGCTCTTCTCACCCAGGCTGGAGTGCAGTGGCGCTATCTCGGCTCACCACAACCTCCACCTCCCAGGTTCAAGCGATTCTCCTGCCTCAGCCTCCCGAGTAGCTGGAATTACAGGCACACGCCACCACGCCCTACTAATTTTTGTATTTTTAGTAGAGACAGCGTTTCTCTATGTGGGTCAGACTGGTCTCAAACTCCCAACCTTATGAGATTCACCCACCTCAGGTTCTCAAAGTTCTAGGATGACACAAGTGAGCCACCTCACCCGGCCTAAAAGCCATTTTAATGGGGTGAGATGAAAACTCACTTTGATTTTAATTTGCGTTTCTCTGATGATGAGTGATACTGAGCACTTTTTCGTATGTGGGGAAATTTCATGTCTTTTGCTCCTTTTTCAATTAAATCATTTGTTTTATTGAGTTGTTTGAGCTTCTTATATTTCTAGTTATTAATCCCATCTCAGATGCATAGTTTGCACATATTTGCTCCCAATCTGTGGGTTGTCTCTTCACTTTGTTGGTTTATTTTTAGCAGTGCTGAAGTTGCTTAGTTTGAGGTAATCCCAATGGTCTATTTTTGCTTCGATTACTTGTGTTTTGAAGGTTTAAAACAAAATGTCTTCCTTCAGACAAACGTCCTGGAGCATTTCCCCAATATTTTGTTCTACGTGTTTCATAGGTTCAGGCCTTAGACTCACATCTTTAATCCATTTTCATTTGATTTTTGTGTATGGTGACAGGTAGAGTTGCAGTTTCATTCCTCTGCATGTAGATGTCCAGGTTTCCCTGCACTGTTTATTGAAAAGACTGTCCTTTCCTGATTGTGAGTTCTTGGCATCTTTGTCAAAGTCCATTGGATGGGCTGGGCTTGGTGGCTAACACCTGCAATTTCAGCACTTTGGGAGCCCGAGGTGGGTGGATCACCTGAGGCCAGGAGTTCAAGATTAGTCTGGCCAACGTGATGAAACATCGTCTCCACTAAAAATATAAAAATTAGCTGAGCATGGTGGTCAGCACCTGTAATACCACTACTCAGGAATTTGAGGCAAGAGAATGATTGAACCCAGGAGGCTGAGGTTGCAGTGAACCGAGATTGCACCTCTGCACTCCAGCCTGAGTGACAGAGCAAGACTCCATCTCAAAAGAAAAAA
Organism: Homo sapiens; assembly: GCF_000001405.40. Taxonomy (NCBI): domain Eukaryota; kingdom Metazoa; phylum Chordata; class Mammalia; order Primates; family Hominidae; genus Homo; species Homo sapiens. The sequence continues at coordinate 79,878 of NW_016107302.1, forward strand.
TAAAAAACCATTGGATGTAAATGCATGGAATATATCTGTGTTATTCATTCTGCTCCGTTGTTCTATGTGCCTTTCTTTATGCCAATGTCATGCTATTTTGCTTACTACAGCTCTGTAACATATTTTGAGATCAGGTAGTGTGATGCTCCTGTTTTCTCTTTATATCTTGAAGTCTCAAGACAGTGGGTGTCATATAAAAAAATTATGGAAAAAAGGATCCCAGGACTCCCAGGGCCCAATATTAGATAAGAGAGTGTTGGCCATGAACCATCCTCAAAGATTTCCACTGAGTGGAGGACAGACACCCTCATTTCCTCACCTCTCTCCTGTCTCATGTTCTAGGAAACCCTTCAAATAGTTGGCCTTCACCCACTGAACCAAGCTCCAAAACCGGTGAGTACAGAACCCTCTTATATCCGCTTTTGGAACCCTGGGGAGGTGGGAACCTTGGATTCAGGCGTTGACTCAGCATCTCACAGCTCTGACATTGTACACTTGTCTTCCACCATCTCCGAACTCCAGATACTCCTACAGCGAAAGGGATCTGGGCCCAACACAGGGCTCAGTGAAATCTCTTCATCTCTCATTTTATGGAGCTGAGACCTCCTACAAGCTAGAAGAATGATTGCCAATCTGACATCCTTCTCAGGAAAAATGCAATGTTTGTTCTACCTGCATTCCTAACTGGAGGATAAATTCCTGGAGACTTGAGAGAGGGAAGGGAAGGGAACATCTGATGAGGGCAAGGTGTTTTAGAGAAGTTCCACTTGCCAAGGAATGAGCTCCTGTAGGTCATGAAGCAACCCTGGCTGACTCCGCAGAGAAAGAGCCTTGCCGTAACAGAGAACAGAGCTCATGCACGCACACTTCGACTCACTGACTCATTCAGCCACGGCCCCATGCTCAGGCTGTGCAGTGTGGAACCTTTTCCTATTGTTGCCATAACAAATTTCCACAAGATTCGTGGGTGAAAACAAAACGGTTTTTTAATTATCTTACAGTGCTGTAGCTCAAAGTAGGAAGTGCATCTTACTGGGCTAAAATCAAGGTGACAGCAAGGCTGCCTTCCCTCTGAGGATTCCAGGCACGAATCTGCTTCTCACTTGTCCCAGCTTCTAAAGGCTCCCAGTTCCTTGGCTCCTGGTCCCCTTCCTCCTTCCTCAAAGCCCACAAAGACTGGTCACATCTCACATGGCATCACTCAGTGCCTTCTTCCTTACCACACCTCTTTCTCTGAGTGCTGCTCTCCCTTCTTCCTCATCTTTTGAAAACTTGGGGATTCTATTGGGTTCACCAAGATGAAAATCCCTCATAATCTCCTGGAAATCATCCAGGATACCCTTGTTTTAAGTTCAGCTGATTAGCAACCATAATTCCATCTGCAATCTTCATTCCTCCTTTCCATGTAAAATAACATATTCACAAGCTGTGGAGGCTAGGACAGGGACATTTTGGGGTGGGACAGCATTCTCCTGCCTTCCACAAACAGTGAACAAGATGCATTTGGCCTCTGCCCTTGGGACACTGATATTGCAGATGGTTAAATGGGAGGGCAGAAAATGAACGCACAAGTGGATCTATAAATGAATGGTCCATTGGGAAGCATCTGTGCATGAAATCTATTTTTTGTTTGTTCTTTTGTTTATTGAGACAGAGTCGCCCTCTGTCTTCCAGGCTACAGTGCAGTGTCACGATCTTGGCTCACTGCAACCTGCGTCTCCTGGATTCAAGGGATTCTCCTGCCTCCGCCTCTCGAGTAGCTGGGATTACAGGCAACTGCCACCGTGCCCGGCTAATTCTTTTTGTATATTTTTTGTAGAGAGGATGTTTCACCACGTTGGCCAAGCTTGTCTGAAACTCCCAACCTCAAGTGATCCGACCGTCTCAGCATGCCAAAGTAATGGGACTACAGGCGTGAGCCACTGTGCCCAGCCAGAATTCAAAATCAATAATAGATAATGCTGAGTGTATGATTTCAGGTGACAAAGAAGGTCTCACTATTCAGATATTTGTGACATTAATGAAAAACACGGAATGAACCCCTGAAAGATTGGCGGAAGGATTTTGCACACACAGCTGTCAGCCATGAAGGCACAAAGGTGAAAACAATCTGATGTGGAAGGAAGAGGCTCTGACTCAAATGCTGGGAATGAGGTGGGGAGAATGACAAGACGACTGTAGAGAGACGGAGAGCACACTGGGTACACAGGAAACTAAGGAGGAACAAGGAGTGTGTGCTTGACACTCACAGCCATTGGATTCACCTCGGGGTAACCAGGAATCCCTACATGATTAATATGACTGACATGAAAATAAGGGAGGCCCAGGTGCATAACTGGAATCTAGGAGACCGTGGAAAAGGCAATTGCCGCCCCACTGGTGAAATGTGGTGCTGATTTAGACACTAAATGAATGAAGTAGATGGATATAAGATATGTTTGTGAGGTAGAATCATTGACTGGAAAGGCTTACTGGGTTTGATTTTCCTACTTGTTTAATCCTCACTTAATTAATTTCTTTCTGAGATTTATTCATCCTACACATAAATCAATACCTGGCAAAGGAGTGACAGATATATGAGTGGTGGTGGAAATGAAGAGACTTATTATAGCATAATATACAAGTCTGTGAACAGTGGCTCACACCTGTAACCTAGCACTGCAGGAGGCCAAGGTGGGTGGATTCCATGAAGTCAGGAGTTCCAGACCAGCCTGGCCAACGTGGTGAAACCCTATCTCTACTAAAAATACAAAAATTAGCCGAGCACGATGGTGCATCCCTGTAATCCCAGCTCCTATTCTGGAGGATGAAGCAGGAGAATGACTTCAACCCAGTAGGTGGAGGTTGCAGTGAGTGGAGATTGCATCACTGCACTCCAGCCTGGGGGACACAAGGAGACTCTATCTCAAAAAATAAAAATAAGAAATACATAAATATAATAAAACACACACGAATGACAAAGGCACCTGAATTCCAATCATGATTTTTCTATTTCTCTATAATTACTTCTTTGATCCTTTATCTTATCCATTAGGCAATGAGCCTAAAACCTCTTCCCTATTTGGCTTTCTGTGAGCATGAGATCATATAGAAAATGTGAAAGCCCGCTGAATCCTCCAGCACAGATCCTGGAATAGAGAAAGTGCTCTGGTCATCACAAAAAAAACTTGCCCACTCACCCAAATCCCCCACCTCACCCCTACTTCCAATCACCTGTGGAGATTCAGATAGACCATGGGGAGGTAAACATTAACACTCCTTGGAGTGAGTCCAGATCTTGGAATCAGAGATCAGCGACAGCACTAGCTCCTGCTCCCCTTTCCTACTAATTCACAGGAGGACAGGTGGTTTTGAAGCAATAGATGGCCGAGGGGGTGGTCCTTCCCCCAGCCTCTCGGGTAGAACAGCAGCCTAATATGTGTCTCCCGAGATCACAAAGAGCAGCAGGTTTCACACGGGCTTCAACACTATTTCCTGGCCGTTTGACATAAGAGAATTCTATTTCGCTTTTTTTATCTTGATTTCACTTTTGTTTTCTTTCCTTGGAGAATGCAAGTTGTTTGATTCAAGAATGCTGTGGATGTAGAAACCCTAAAGCACATTCGCTGTGAATCAATCCCAGTCCAGTCTTCCCAGAGAAGACTCTAAACACCTCCTGGACTGCACCTGGGCCTATGCCAATTCCTATCACTCACCGTCACTCCAGGGAGACAGAACACACAGAGAATACGTTACATAGGCAGGTTCATTACTAACAGATAAGCAGCGAGTGACAACAGAAACCTATATTTCAATGTGACCCAGTCCCTCAAGGCTCAGAAAAGCTGCTCGGGACATATGGAGTCACCCCATTTGCAGTGTAGCTGGGGGAAGCCAGAAAGCAGCCCAGCCTGGGTTTTGTACCCTGGAGCCACAGGAAGCACTCAGCTAAAGCACTGCATGACGTCCTCCAGGAAGAACAGGAAGACAGCCCAGGGTGTTCTGAGACGTTCCTCCTGATCTCAGGAAGTTGCTGTCTTAGGCCATTTTTGTTGCTCTAAAGGAACACTTGAGCCTCGGTAACTTCTAAAGAAAAGAGATTGGTTTGCCTCACCGTTCTGCAGGCTGTACTGGAAGCATGGCACCAGCATCTATTTCTCGTGACGGCCTCAGGCTGCTCCCACTCTGGCAGAAGGGAAGGAGGGTCTGTCTGTGCAGAGACCACAGAGATCACACGGCAAGAGAGGGAGCAAGGGGGAGGGGGAGTGATGGAGCTTCCAAGCTCTTTTTAACAACCAGCTCTCCGGGAACTAATAGAGGGGGAACTTGCTAACCCCGTCTCCTTGGGACAGCATTGATGTGTTCATGATGGATCCACCTCCATGACCCAAACACCTCTCAAGAGGCCCAACCTCCCACAGTGGGGGTGAAATTTCAATGTGAGGTTTGAAGGGGTCAAACATCTCAACTAAAGTAGTCGTATCCTCAGCACGTTCTATGGTTACTATGAGAGCTATAACTGAAAAAGCAGGAGAAAGCTGGGTCTCCTGCCATCTGGGTGCTTGTCCTAAAGAGGTGTTTTATGTGGTTACCTGTCAATCAAGAAATGCGAGACAATTCATAAAGAGGAACTGCTAAGATTAGCTTCTTATTGGTGTCTCATCTTCTTCCAGGTAACCCCCGACACCTGCACATTCTGATTGGGACCTCAGTGGTCATCATCCTCTTCATCCTCCTCTTCTTTCTCCTTCATCGCTGGTGCTCCAACAAAAAAAGTAAGTCTCACGAAGCAGAGGCCAGAGAGCTCAGGGCCATGTGGGGAAGCAGGATGGGAGCACTCAGGTGTGTGTTCCTCACAAACAGGATGGTCCCTGGCCCAAGGCAGCAGCCACAGAGGCAGGACTTTCTAGAGAGGGCACCAGACTCCCTGTCCCTGCCTTCAACTCACAGACCGTTGCCTGATTCTGAACTGTATCCTCATGTCCCCTGCAGCCACTCACATCCAGGAGAAGGTTCCATGACAGGCAGAAAGTGGGAGACAGAATCAATGGGATGGGAACTCAGAGCTATTCATGGGATGGGTCCTTGAGCTCAGAGAGATAGAATGTCTGAGTCTGCTGTTGGCAACTGAGGGACCTCAGCCACCTATGGTCTCCCCCTGTATGTTGGTATCTGCTTATGAAATGAGGACCCAGAAGTGCCCTCCGAGCTGTTTTGTTGACTTCCGTCTTCTACAGATGCTGCGGTAATGGACCAAGAGTCTGCAGGAAACAGAACAGCGAATAGCGAGGTAGGTACTCCTCGGCCCGGGCTCGTGGCTACTGTTATTCCCAAAGAGTCCTGGAAAATGTGAGCACCCTCCCTCACTCAGCATTTCCCTCTCTCCAGGACTCTGATGAACAAGACCCTCAGGAGGTGACATACACACAGTTGAATCACTGCGTTTTCACACAGAGAAAAATCACTCGCCCTTCTCAGAGGCCCAAGACACCCCCAACAGATATCATCGTGTACACGGAACTTCCAAATGCTGAGTCCAGATCCAAAGTTGTCTCCTGCCCATGAGCACCACAGTCAGGCCTTGAGGGCGTCTTCTAGGGAGACAACAGCCCTGTCTCAAAACCGGGTTGCCAGCTCCCATGTACCAGCAGCTGGAATCTGAAGGCATGAGTCTGCATCTTAGGGCATCGATCTTCCTCACACCACAAATCTGAATGTGCCTCTCACTTGCTTACAAATGTCTAAGGTCCCCACTGCCTGCTGGAGAAAAAACACACTCCTTTGCTTAGCCCACAGTTCTCCATTTCACTTGACCCCTGCCCACCTCTCCAACCTAACTGGCTTACTTCCTAGTCTACTTGAGGCTGCAATCACACTGAGGAACTCACAATTCCAAACATACAAGAGGCTCCCTCTTAACGCAGCACTTAGACACGTGTTGTTCCACCTTCCCTCATGCTGTTCCACCTCCCCTCAGACTAGCTTTCAGTCTTCTGTCAGCAGTAAAACTTATATATTTTTTAAAATAACTTCAATGTAGTTTTCCATCCTTCAAATAAACATGTCTGCCCCCATGGTTTCGGTAATGGGACTCTTTTCTTGCCTAAGGCTTCCGGTGTTATCAGTACCATGTCCATATAATCCCATCTGTTCCCCACTGAGTTCTCATCCCCGGACTCTGAGTTTCTGGAAGCAGGGTGGAGCCTCATTTGTCTCTGGGACTCCAATTTCCATCCAAAGATGTAGCACATAGGAGGTTCCAAGGATCACGAATCATATGAACAAGTGATACTCTTACTCTCTGCAGACCTGGAAAGCTGGCAGAGTCATTCCACAATGAAACATTTGTAGAATCATAGGCCTTGTTAGTCTCATCTCCATGGGGACACATATCAACACATCATCTTTCATAATATAAATATACGGTCACTCCTCCATATCTGCGGGGTTTACAGGTGTTTATTGAACCAAGTATAAATCAAAAATATTGAGAGAAAGTATCCACAGAGTTTCAAAAAGCATAACTATGTTGAATGGACACAAATGAAGCTGTGTGTAGGCTGTATCAGGAATTATAAGTAATCTAGAGATGATTTCATGTATACAGGAGGATGTGCATAGGTTATTTGCAAACGCTGTGCCATTTCATATAAGAGGCTTGAGCATCTACAGATTTTGGTATCTGAGTGGAGATCTCAAAACCAATCACCCACGAATAGTGAAGGATGACCGTATATGACTTTTATTTCTCAAATTTAAATATAAATCATAAAAAATGTACAACTAGATAAAAACTAAGAAGTGTTTTTATAGTGTGAGTTAGATTTATTTTTTCCTAGGTGTAACCAATTGGTTTAATATTATTTATTGAGAAGACATTCTATGCCACCTTAAACCACACGGCAGCCTTTGTCAACTCTAAAGGGACTGTGTGTACATGGATGTATTTTAGACACTGTTTCTGCTAAGGGGCTCTCTGTGTCCACACTCTTGATGATGCTGCACTTTATGTAGCCTTATAGAACCCTTTAAATTTAGTAGCCAGAGCCCTCTAATTTGTTATTATAGGCTGTTTGCTTTTTTTTTCTTGAGGCGGAGTCTTGCTCTGTCGCCCAGGCTGGACTGCAGTGGCACAATCTCAGCTCACTGCAACCTCCGCCTCCCAGGTTCAAGCGATTCTCGTGCCTCAGCCTCTTGAGTAGCTGGCGTTACAGGTGCCTGCCACCAGGCACGGCTAATTTTTGGATTTTTAACAGAGACACGGTTTCACTATATTGGCCAGGCTGCTCTCAAACTCCTTATCTCAGTTGATCCGCCCACCTCGGCTTCCCAACGTGCTGGGGAAAACTTGATTTTCTATAGCATTATGTTACTGGATATTTCTGTAAAATTTAAAACGAGGGAGGGAGAGAGACAGACAGAGAGCAAACTCCAGAGTTGGGACTCTGGAATCTTGGGTCATGAGACAAATTTTAGATTAAACTACAAAACTCCAGAATTTACAGGTGTGGTTTTTGCTGATAAAGTACAATTCTAAGATTGTAAATAATTGCATAATCCTTCCCTGGGAATTTAAATCATTTTAGCTGGTTCTGCTGTAATACTAGAAATACAAGCATGAAAAATTCTAATGGTTTATTAGTCACAATGACTCCGAAAACATTAATAATACCTATTAGATACTTTGCATATTACACAGGAAGAAGAGTTTGAATCTCAGATAAAAACAAAAAAAATACATGAAAAGTCTTTCATGTTAGCACAGATTTTAGGCATCTCGTGTTCGGATAAAAATACATGAAAAGTCTTTCACGTTAGCACAGATTTTAGGCATCTTGTGTTCGGGAGGTTGGATCTGAGACGTGTTGTGAGTTGGTCATAGTGAAGACGTGAGGTGCCAATTCTAGTGAGAACAATTTCCAGGAAGCCGTGTTCCGCTCTTGAGCAAGCATCCACTGGGCCTCATGCAAGGTAGAAAGAGCCTGCGTACGTCACCCTCCCATGATGTAGTCAACATGTAAGCTGCATGGGCAGGGCGCCAAATAACATCCTGTGCGCTGCTGAGCTGAGCTGGGGCGCGGCCGCCTGTCTGCACCGGCAGCACCATGTCGCTCATGGTCGTCAGCATGGCGTGTGTTGGTGAGTCCTGGAAAGGAATAGAGGGAGGGAGTGCCACATCCTCCTCTCTAAGGTGGCGCCTCCTTCTCCCCCAGGTGGTCAGGACAAGCCCTTCCTCTCTGCCTGGCCCAGCCCTGTGGTGTCTGAAGGAGAACATGTGGCTCTTCAGTGTCGCTCTCGTCTTGGGTTTAACGAATTCAGTCTGTCCAAAGAAGACGGGATGCCTGTCCCTGAGCTCTACAACAGAGTATTCCGAAACACCGTTTTCATAGGCCCTGTGACCCCAGCACATGCAGGGACCTACAGATGTCGGGGTTCACACCCACACTTCCTCACTGGGTGGTCAGCACCCAGCAACCCCCTGGTGATCATGGTCACAGGTCAGAGGGCTCCTGTCTGGGATTCTCCTTGTCCCACCTCCTGAGTCCCAGAGCTTCTGGTGGGAGTGTCCACCAGCGTCCCATCATCCAGACCCTAACTGTATTTGGGGTAAAAGGGGATTGAATACAGGGAAATGGGTGCTGTGGTGGAAAGAATAATTGTCCCCAATGATGACTGCATTCTAATCCCTGCAGTCTGTGACTATTTATGTTATAGGGGAAGGCACTGAAGGGGAAGATGGAGCTCAGGTTGTTGAGTTGACCTTGAGATGGGGAGACAGCCTGGACTGTCCTGCTGGGCTCAGTGTAATCACAAGGGTGCACATGAGAGGAGAAGGAAGAGGGGAGTGGCGATTAGAGCAGTGCAATGGAAGTCTCCATCAGCTTTGAAGGTGGAGGAAGGCCATGAGCCATGAATGCAGGTGGCCTATAGAGGCTGGAAAAGTCAAGGAACTGATTCTCCTGGGTCTCCAGAGGGAACGCAGCCCTGCAGATGCCTTGATTTTAGCCCTCAAAAAACAGGGTCCGATTTCTGTCTCCAGAAACGGAAGGGGTCAGTGTGCTCTCTCCTGCTGCCATGCTTCTGATAATTTTCCACAGCACCAACAGGAAACCAACACTGGAACCCAGGTCAAGGACAAGATAAGAAAGGACACAAGGATAGCCGGGCGTGGTGGCAGGTGCATGTAATCCTAGCAACTCAGGAGGCTGAGGGCAGGAGAATCACTTGAACCCAGGAGACAGAGGTTGCAGTGAGCCTAGACCACACCACTTCACTCCAGCCTGGGTGAAGGAGTGAGACTCTGACTCCAAAATTAATTAATTAATTAAAGAAACCAAACAAAGAGAAGGTTGGCTACACCGAGATCAGCAAGGGTGGGATGATGATGCCACCACCAGGCTCCATCCACATAGGGAGGGGTTGATACTCCTCAAACCAGCACCAGAAGCCAGCCTATGGAAGCTGGCACCATGGAGAAGGCACAGGCATGGCAAGAGTGGCTCCCAGTCCCCACCAGGAACAGGGTGTGTGGACACTGGTGCCTGCCTTACTGATCAGTTCATACCTTCTGCCAAGGATTCCAAATCGTCCAAAAGAGATTGAACCAGTCTGCTAAGAGCCTGGACGTGCAGCCTATCCTGGTTCCTCTTCCACCCCCACATAGAAGCAGGAAAGACATTAGTTCGAAATAGATACAACAGCCCAAGAGATGAGGCTGAGCCCAGCGGCAAGGGAATCAGGAGCTACTAGAGACAGAGGGACAGAGAAGAGGGAGGGAGACAGATGGAAGGACCTGTACCAGGAGTTATGGGCACAGAAAAGAACATGAAGACACAGAGAGGAAGGAGAGAGATAAGACACCAGCGAGGGGAAGCCTCACTCATTCTAGGTGCCATGGATGGGATGATAAAGAGAGATGCCTTCTAAAGTCACAACCTCTCTTCCTAGGAGTCCACAGAAAACCTTCCCTCCTGGCCCACCCAGGTCCCCTGGTGAAATCAGAAGAGACAGTCATCCTGCAATGTTGGTCAGATGTCATGTTTGAGCACTTCCTTCTGCACAGAGAGGGGACGTTTAATGACACTTTGCGCCTCACTGGAGAGCTCCATGATGGGGTCTCCAAGGCCAACTTCTCCATCGGTCGCATGACGCAAGACCTTGCAGGGACCTACAGATGCTACGGTTCTGTTCCTCATTCCCCCTATCAGTTGTCAGCTCCCAGTGACCCTCTGGACATCGTGATTACAGGTGAGAGTGTCTGGACATTATTCTCATTGTCACTGGGACACAGAGTGAATGATCCACGACTTGGAGGCCCAGGTGGTTATAAGGAAGATGAGCTTGGTATTCTTATGGAGAGAGACTAACTTGGTGAGGTCTGTACCAACAGAGACAGAGAAACAGGAGACACAAGTACAGACCAGGTGTCATAACAGAGGACAGACACAGGGGCCATACAGGGAGTTAGAAAAGACAGAAAGAGTTAAAGGAGACACAGACAGACATGTGCCAGAGAGAGGTGTCCTTCCATGCTGACTTTGCTCAGAGACCTGGCACAGGTTAGAAGTTTCATTTCTGTTTTACTTCCACAAAGTGTTCTCTACCAGAAGAACCCAAGGACACCCATATTTCTGGCCTGAGTTGGGCCCTGTGGCCTCAGGCCTTCTGGCACCTACAGATGCCGTGTTTATTCTGACACCTCTGCCTTCCATGCAATGGAGAGTAATCGTCCCAGGATATCATGGCCCCAGAACATCAACCCCTGTATACTGTGTGAACTTGCGGTCCCCAGACTGGATTCTGAGGCTCACATTCCAAATAACCCCACATATGAGAGGATCACTGAGAGACACAGAGAGAAATCAGGGACACCAAAAAGCAAAGACATAAACACACAGAGAATGAGCCAGAGGAAGGAGATTGAGAGACTCACAGACACATAAAGAGGGAGAAAAGAGGGCAGAGAAGTGGAGAGAACAATGGAAGGGAACAGAGAAAAGCACTAAAATTAGAGTCCTGAGGGAGAGACACAAGGACATAGAAAGATGGAGATGTGGGGATGAATTGCAGAGATTCCAAAGAGAACTAGAGAGACCGAGAGGCAGAGCAAGACAGATGATAGATGGATAGATATAGATAGATGATAAATAGGTAGATGATAGATAATAGGTTAAAGATACATAGATGATGATTGATTCATTCATTGATTAATCGATGATACATAGAGATGATGAAGATGAAGATAGATAGATAATACATAGAGATAGAGAGGCAGACAAAGAGAAATCATAGAGAGAGAGAGACGATACATAGATATAGATAATAGATGATTTTTGGATAGACAATTGATAGATAAATAGATTATATATAGATATAGATGACAGGTAGAGAATTTGTAGATAGGCACCAAATAGATAAATAGATATATCGATAGATAATAGATAGAAATATGCAGAAAGTTATGAACAGGACACAAAGTGAGAAACTCAGAATTTAAAAAAAGTAACATCAAGTCAACTAGTCCAAGGAGAGTCAGAGAGAATAAAACAATCCAAAAAGGGAAAACATATCTAGAGGTGAGAAAGTGAGGTCAGAGACCTAGAGAGACAGAGAAGGTGGAAAGAGGAAATAGACATAAAGAGAGATGGTGTGGAGGGTGAGACAGAGAGAGAGAGCATTAGGCCATAGAGCAGGGGAGTGAGTTCTCAGCTCAGGTGGGAGGGGAGTTGTGACAAGGAAGAACCTCCCTGAGGAAACTGCCTCTTCTCCTTCCAGGTCTATGTGGGAAACCTTCTCTCTCAGCCCAGCCGCGCCCCATGGTTAAGGCAGGAGAGAGCGTGACCTTGTCCTGCAGCTCCCGGAGCTCCTATGACATCTACCATCTATCAAGGGAGGGGGAGGCTCATGAACTTAGGTTCCCTGCAGTGCCCAAGGTCAATGGAACCTTCCAGGCCAACTTTCCTCTGGGCCCTGCCACCCACGGAGGGACCTACAGATGCTTCGGCTCTTTCCGTGACTCTCCCTACGAGTGGTCAGACCTTAGTGACCCACTGCTTGTTTCTGTCACAGGTGAGGAAACCAGTCTGTTCCCCAAATAGTGGGACTCAGATGGACTACAATGGCCACATTCAGGGGAGCCTCAGATGGAGGGGGTGGCCATGGGGGTGTCAGCCAGAGATGCTGGACAGAAGAGACACAAAGCAAACATACAGAAAGAGGCATAGACAGACAGACAGAGCGAGGCAGACAGATCACATTAGGGTTTGGGGTGGTAACTGCAACCCTACCTGAAGCTTGCAGATAGAGCACAGGCCACATAAACCACTTCCCAGTCTTTGTACAGAAGCCCACCTGGGACACATGTAAACAGCATCAATGCTGACTCAGGAGCATGAAAGGCCGGGCTCAGATTGGAAAGACTAGAGGTAGCATTGGCCGCCCGCCATTGCCCATTTCCAGAAGCCCCCACCTCTCACCAAAGAGTGATTTCCACATGGGGGGCACAGATGCAACCATCGTTGGGGGAGCCCCAATGTCTCTTGATGGGAGGCATTTTCCACCCTAGATGTTTTTTGCTCTCTCCACACCTTGGAGACTCAGTGGGGGAGTCTTCTCTGGGGACTCGGGGAGGGCCTCCCTGGGACTCGCAGGATTTCCAAGCTAGATGACAACATGACAGGTGGAAACAGGCCCATTCCTTCGCCAGGGGCCCCAAGCTCCATCCCAGGAGATGAGAAGAGGCTCTTCTCATTGGTCAGTGGATCCCTGAGGGGACAGAGGCTCAGCACTGAAGGCTGAGAAGGATCTGCCACTTCGCTCAGTGGCCTCAAGCCAGACATCTTCCCTACAGACTTGCAGTGATTCTCCATCAGCATTTAGGGCTGTGGCCACCAACCTGGGTGTTGGTCTGTAGGAACTTTTCATTTCTGACCTTCCATAACTGAGTTCTCTTCCTAAATGTGGAATGCCTTGTACTCCATGTTACTCTCTCCCCAGAAAGAATGTGTGGCTTGTCTGCTCTCCAGCCCTGTCATGGAGATTGATAATCCTTAGGGAGCAAGAGGAGAGGGAAAGAACAAAGTATGAGACCACCTAGGTGCTACTGGTTGAGGTTCCATTTGCCAGTGAAGGGACTTCACTCAGCCGAGGGGGCAACTCAGGGAAGTCAGCCGAGGGAGGGCATTAGAGTAGAGAGAACTGAGCTCACCCAGTAAATGACCCCTTCACTAACTCATTCATCTAATATTTATTTCACACCTACCATCAGTTCTCTCTGTTTCACGGCCAGGAGTAGACAGCACGGCCAAGCTCCTGGGTTCATGATGCTCACATTGCTGTGGGGTGGGAGAGAGAGGCAGAACATGAATGAATGAATGAGAGAATGAATGAATGAGTGAATGATGGAATGAGTGAATGAATGAATGAATGAATGTATGAATTAGTGAGTGAATCCTTAGCACTTGGTGAAAGTGCCATGCACAGAATGAAATGAATGAACGTGGAACGTTGTCATTTGGAGTGTACAGGAGGGAACGTCTCACTGAGACCTCATCAGAGAGATCACATTTAAACTCCGATCTTAGAGACAAGAGGGAGTGAGCCCTGGGGAGTGTGTTGAAAGGAACTTTCATGGACTTAGGACATTGGGGATGACCCTAATGTGAGAATGAGCTTGGTGTGTTCCAAGAAGTCCATGGACCTGCCATATGGTGAGGGCTGGTCAGAATCCAGAGAGATTTCTAAATGCCCTTGTGCTTGTAAGGAAAGTGAGTCCTGTGGTTGGGAGTGGACTTATACCTTGGGTCAGGTCCAGCAATTATCTTTCTAAATCCTCTCTAATTGCCTGAACCACTTCTATCAACAACTGAGAAAAGAGGAGTGTTAAACACCCCACTGTGGCCGTGGATTTGCCTACCTGTCCATTTATTTCCGCGACTCTTCCTCCATGTATATTTGCAGGAATATTACTGGGAGTGGTTAAGTGTAAACTGATTATATATTCCTGGTAAATTTAAAATGCTATAAATTTACCTGCTTTTTTCCTACATTTTATGCTTAATGTTTTCCGCTGATTTTTCCCAAAGACTAATTTTGTCTAATTTTAATATAGTTATACCACATTTCTAACAGTGATTGCTTGGTATATTTCTACATTGTTTAATTTCAAACTCCATGAATTGTTAACATTGAGATGTGTCCTTTGTAAATTTCAAACAATTCGCCTTAGAAAGTAAGACTTTCTGACAATCTTTTGTTCATGTTTGAGCAGTTCTTCCAATCATATTTTTGTTATTATTACGTTGTGTTTTCCTGATTCCCTTTTTTTCCCACTGACTTCTGTGGTTTTCTATTTCAAACATTCTATTTTTGATCTATGTCGTTTAGGAATACATATATGGTGTACTCATCCTGAAGTTGTTACATATTTTTAAAATTGAAATTAATCATTTCAGAGATTAAACTGCAAATATAAAAACATATTTCCACTCTTCCTGTGTAAGAACAGGATTTTAGAGCATATTTAGTACATATGTTTGTATTTACTTATATGATGTTTTGTTTTGTGGTATACATAATTCTATCTTTTTCAGAAATTACACAGGGGCGTGTTTTCATACACTATCGTATGGTCCATATTCATTTTTGGCATAGCCATATTTTTAGTTCTTCCTCTGCTCTTAGTTATTGTCAGAATCTTCGACACCCCATCTGGTTTCACTTTCTTTATCTTTGAGGCACGGTCATCAGAATTTCCTTTAGGGTCAGTGAGAAAAGCTTTCTTTGCCCTTTTGTCTTTCAGTTCTGTTTCTTTCCTGCGTTGATCTTGGACAGTAACTGTACTATGTAAGGAATTGTCGGTGGCTGGCGACGGTATCTTAGCTGGGTAAAGATGCTATTCTACTGGCTTATGTTTTCCTTTTTTCTGTGGGGAAGACAATGCTTGGCTCCCTATAAATCCTTACCAGCTGATCCTTTTCCTCTGGCTAATTTTAAGGGTTGGTTGTGCTTTTATGCTGCTTTTCTGTAATGTTGAACGTGAGGTGTGTTTACTTCATTCTGCCTGGCATTCACTGGATTTCTTGAACCTGTGGATTGATGGATGTGTCTACTTCCTCCAAATAATCAACAATTGCCTCTTTAAAGATTGCTTCTGACCTGTTTTCTCGTTCTTTCTTTTTGGAACTCAAGTTAGGAGCATTCTAAAACTGTTGTCAATTTTTACCCTGTCACAAAACTGCTCTTTCTTGTTTCAGTTATTTGCTTTTTCTGTGCATTAATATTGATGGTTTCCTCTGTCATAGAGGATAAATACTCTCTTCACTGTTGTGTACACAACATTTTAACTAGTTATTCTGGTTTAAATTTAATATTGACTTTATCTACATATCACAATTGATTACTGTGTACAGACTTTCTTTTCTATTAGTATAAATTTATGAGGTACACTTGTAATTTTGTGACATGAGTATGTTGCAGAGTAGTGAAGTCAGGACTTTTACTATATCCATCACCCAAATACCGTACATTGTACTCATTAAGCAAATTCTCATCACTCACCCACGTCCCGCCACCCTCCAGCCTTCTAGCCTCCGCTGTCCGTCATTCCACACTCTACGTCCATATGTACACATTACTCCCCTCCCATGTAGAGTGAGAAGATGTGGTATTTGTCTTTCTGAGTGGTTTTATGTAAAATAATGGCGTCCAGCTCCATCTATGTTGCTGCAAAAGACATGGTTTTATTTTTATGACCAAATAGTATTTCGTTGTGTATACACGCATCCTTTTTTTAATCCAATCATTCATTCACAGACACTTAGATTGATTTCATATCTTTGCTATTGCAAACAGTGCTGCAATAAACATACAGGTGCAGGTATTTTTTGAGTAGATACCCAGCAGCGGGACCCCTAGATCGAATGGTGCTTCTATTTTTGGTTCTCTGCCAAATTTCCATACTGTCTTCCATAGAGGCTATACTAATTTACATACCGGCCAACAGTGTATAAGAGTTTCCTTTTCTCTGCATCCTTGCCAACACCTGTTATATGTTTCACTTTTTCTTTTTTTCTTTTTGAGATGGAGTCTTCCACTGTCACCCAGGCTGGAGTGCAGTGCCGCCATCTCCACGCGCTGCAACCTCCACCAACCAGGTTCAAATGATTCTCCTGCCTCAGCCTCCTGAGTAGCTGGGATTACAGAACCACACCACCATGCCCAGCTAATCTTTTGTATATTTAGTAGAGATGGGGTTTCACTATGTTGGTCAGGCTGGTCTCAAACTCCTGACCTCATGATCCACCCGCCTCAGCTTCCCAAAGTGCTGGGATTACAAGCGTGAGCCACCACTCCCCACCAGCATTTTTAGTAATAGCCATTCTGACTACTGTAAGATGATATCTCATTGTGGTTTCAATTTGCATTTCTCTGATGATTAGTGATGTTCATACGCTGTTTGGCCATTCGTATGTCTTCTTTTGAAAAATGTCTATGTATATCCCTTTGCCCACTTTTTAATGCTATTATTTGAGGGGTTATGTTTAGTTGTTTGAGTTGCCTAGAAATTCTGGATGTTAGTCCTCTGTTGGGTGCATAGTTTGCAAACATTTCCATTCATTCTGTGGGTTGTCTGTTCACCCTGCTACTATTTCCTTTGCTTGGCAGAAGCTCTTTCGTTTATTAAGTCCCATTGGTCTAGTTTTATTTTTATTGCCTGTGCTTTTGAGGTCTTAGTGATGAATTCTTTGCCCAGACCAATGCCCAGAAGAGTTTCTCTTTGGGTTTCCACCGGTGATTTTATAGTTCTGGATTTACATTTAAGCTGCTAATTACCTTAAGTTAATTTATGTGTATGATTACAGATACAGGTCCAGTTTTATTCTTCTGCATATGGCTATTTAGTTTTCCCAGCACCTTTTATTGAAAAGGAAATCTTTCTCCAGTGTATGTTTTGTTAACGTCGTCAATGATTATTCACTGTAGATATGAGGCTGTATTTCTGGGCTCTCTATTCTGGTCTATTGATCTCTGTTTCTGTGTCTATACCAGCACTGTGCTATTTAAGTTACTATAGCCTTAGAGCATAGTTTGAAGTCAGATAGCATGATGCCTCCAGGTTTCTACATTCACCTAGAATTGCTTTCTCTATTAGGATCTTTTTTGGTTCTGTATGAATTTTAGGATTGCTTTTTCTAATTCTGTGAAAACTGGTGTTACTATTTTCATATAAGAATTGCACTGAATCTGTAGATTGCTTTAGGCAGTATGGTCATTTTAACAATATTAATTCTTATGATCCATGAGCGTGGGATTTTTTTTCTTTTTTTTTTTTTGTATTATCTATAATTGCTTTCATTGGTGTCTTACACCTTTCCTGGTACAGATCTTTCACCACCTTGGTTAAATGTATTCCTGAGTGTTTTAATTTTGCGTATCTATTGTAAACGGCATTGCCTTCTTGATTTGGTTCTCAGCTAGATCATTATAGGTGTAGAGAAATGCTACCGGCTTTTACATATTGATTTTGTATTCTGAAACTTTACTTAGTTCATTTATCAATCATAAGAATTTTTGGCAGGGTCTTTAGGATTTTCTAGATTTAAGATCATAGCATCAGAAATAAAAATAATTTTACTTCCTCTTTTCTAATTTGGATTTTTACTTCTTCCTGTTGCCCAATAGCTCTGACAAGGCTTCCAGTACTATGTTGATAGGAAGTGGTGGATGTCCGTGTCCTTGTCTTGTGCCAGTTCTCAGAGGAGTGCTTTTAACTTTTCCTGTTCAGTATGATGTTGACTCTAGATATGTCATCTATGGCTTTTATTATTTTGAGGTATGTTCTTTCTATGCCTAAGTTTTTGAGGGTTTTCATCAGGTAAGGATGTTGAATTTCTTTTCAGATGCTTTTCTTTATGTCTATTGAGATGATCATATGGTTTTTGTTCTGGATTCTGCTCGTTCTTCTAAGTGGATGAGACATGCCAGAAAAGCATTTAGTCAGCCATCTTGGAAACAAGCATCTCAGATGTTTTCTTTCTCTATAGCTCATTCTTTCTTACCAGTGTTTTCAATTTTGTACTTAATTTTGTAAAGAGAGTAAATGATATAATTTCCACATATGTTTCCTCTGCCAAATCAGACTCACTATGCTTCCTTTCCTTGTATGCATAACCTACCCAGCAATACACACAAACATTTATTGCTTTGGAGAATTAGTTTGGGAACATTTTTGAAATGTACAAAAAAATGTATATCTTCAAAAGAAATTTCTTTTTGTGGCAAAAGACTTCTGAAGGTGCTCATGATGATATAGGGAGAAGAGGGGTTCTGGACAGGAAGAATTTTATGAAGGTGAGATGGGGAAATAGCTCCATTTCAGAGCTTCTGGGGAGAGAGGGGCCTGGCCCACATGGAAAGGTCTCTGATCTTACCCCCACCCTCCAGCCCCTGTTCTCCAGAACTATACTGTGGAGAGTTCCATCAGGATTGTTGTGGCTGGTCTGGTCTTCCTGGCTCTTTTGGCAATGCTGGCTAAGACCTGGTGGAGACATGAGGGGCCACAGGTGGAAATGGAAGAAACATGACTGAAGCTGGCTGGAGTGAATGGCGCGACATTCTGTCTGTGGGAGATTGGCCAGATGGGTTTCAAGTGTGTTGTATCAGCTGTGACTTTTAGTAATGTTCTTGCTACCACAATATCCACTCGTCCATCCCGAATAATTGTGATGAAATATTGTCCTTGGGATAATATTCATTTGCTAAAGACAGGGATGATACCTCAAGGTGCCACTATATACATCGAGGGGATCCACAAAAGTCCATTCAGTAAAATGTAGTTGGCATCTTAGGGTAGGTTGATTCCACCTCTAAAAAAGTAGGTACAACATCAGGTTGATTTTTCCGAAGAAAAGTGGTGATTGGCCATCTTTAGTCTCAATGTAAACGGTAATACTGATGAGTGTGGAAAAGGCAGGGAAGAGGATTGACAATAAGTGACACTCATTGTTTTCATCTGAGCTTTGAGACTGAAAGAGGAACACAGGAGTGAGATGTATGGGAACAAACCCCTTCTTTTTCCAGCTAAACAGAGTGGAAGTTGGACACTGAGTTTTGGCGTACAGCAAAATCCTAAGTCCATTGTTGGGTTGAACACGGCCATGTTGTACATCCTGGTTTCACAGCAGACACTGGAGGAAAACAGCCTGTATTCATAAGAGGCTGTCCCTCGGGTCACTGCCCAGAATATCCGGAGTTGGTGCTCACAGGGTTGGGAACTCTCCTGGACCAGACAGGCTCTGGATATGGGGGGGTACCAAGCTCCCCGGGGCCATGCCTCCACAGCTCTCTTCTCACCTCATTCTTGACCATTTCCCAAACCTCTGACCTCACCTTCATTCATCCATGGTGAACACGCTAAAGCTGGCCTTCAAAGCTTGAGACAGAGGAAAATTGGGCTTCATCTCTGGGAACTAAATTGGGGAGTGGAGACTCAGTTCTGGCCTGACAGGAGGGAGAAGACCCTGGATCCCAGTGTGGATGGGAAGAAGTATGTGTTTCTCTTTTGTGCTTGGACCCTGTGTCCAAGCATGTCTGAGATGTGATGAAGATGAATCTTCCTTTCCTTGTCTATTTTCTCATGCCAGAGAATTGGAATCTTATATTCCATTAACTCTTTCTGTTCTGTTCATCCAGATTCTATGAAGGAGAAAGGAAAAGATGTGATACTGTAATTTTGCTCCATTTGTCTAAAATGAGTAGGCTGCAACTCCTCTTGAAGTGATACCTTTTCTAGCTCTTGTTGGAGGTGTCTCAGGACTCATTACTTCGGGGAACCTGCAACTGTGTCAGTCTGGGGAAACTGCAAATATTCTTGTCTTACATTTGTCTCCAGCCAATTGTGATGGACTCCAGTGACCTGCAATTGCTGTTATTGCAGGTAAAATGTACCTGAGTCAGGCCACAGTTCTCCTGGACTATGAGCCCCTGGCCATGTTCCTGAGGCAATTCTGTTCATCTAAATATAATAATAATAACACACTAAAAATGGCAAGCCATTGTTAATTCCTGAAGTCTCATTTGAAAATTACTAAATGTCTGTTATTTTTTGGTGTTTACATTATATGTAGACAGATAAACTACACACACACACACACACACACACATGCACACAGAAGAATGGATTGGTTCATGTAGAAAAGTAAATAATTCAAGATGAAAGGATGAAATGTCATGGCACCTACTATTCTATTTTAGATAAAGGGTCTATGAAAAGATTGATTTCTTTTTATGTTTTATTTGTTGACATTTGAACACAAACTATGTAAGTGAGGGAGTCGATTTGAAAGGGAGAAGAGCAAGTTCAAACACATTCAGGTGAGGTCATGCTTTACATGTTTTAATTGAAATGATCCATCTTGGGAGTAGATCAATAACTGAGATGGTGCCAGGAATGTTAAAAAGCTTTTGTCAGTCCTAAATATTGACAAATAAAATTTAATTAAAGTCTTAGAAGAAAACACAAAGGAAAACTTCACAACATCGGATTTGGCAGTGATTCTTTAGATGTGACAACAACGGCACAGGCTACTACAGAAAAAATAAACAAGTTAGACTTTATGAAAATTTTGAAATATTGTGACTCAAAAGACAACATCAGTTACTTCACATGGCAAGGAAAAAGAACTTTTAAGACGATATTATCAAAGTAAAAAGACAACCCACAGAATGGGAGAAAATGTTTTCAAACCACACCACCTGTAAGGGATTAACATCCAGAATATACAGACAACTCCTAAAACTCAATCACAATAAACTCAATTCAAAAATGGGCAAAGTACTGAAACAGACATTTCTCCAAAGAACATACGCATGAAAAGATATTCAGCATCACGAATCATTAGGGAAATACTAACTAAAACTACACCAGATGCCATTTCATACCCCTTAGGATGGGTATCATCAAAACAACAACAACAACAACAACAAAGTTTCTATACATTAACAACAAACTATCCAAAAAAGTTTACAAGAAAATAAGCCCATTTGCAATAACTACAGAAAACAAAACATGCAGGAATAAATTCACCCAAGGAGTAGAAAGATCTGTATGCAAAAGCTATAAAACATTGATGAAAAAACTCAAGAAATAAACAAATAAATCGAAAGATATTCCATGTTCACGGATCAGAAGGATTAATGTTGTTAAAATGTCCATTCTATCCAAAGTGATTCAATGCAACCATTATCAAAAATCCAATGACATTTTTTTTACAGAAATAGAAAAAACAGTCCTAAAATTCATGTGGAACCACAAAAGATCTCAAATAACCAAAGCCATCTAGAGGGAAAGGAACAAAGTTGGAAGAATCACATTACCTAAACACAAACTACATTACAAAGTTACAGTAATTAAAACAACACAGTACTTGCATAAAAACAGACACATAGACCAATGGAAGTGATTCATAGCCCAGGAAAAAAAATGCACGCATTTAGGGTCAAACAATTTTTGGGATGTATCAAGAACACACAATGGAGAAGGAACAGTCTCTTTAATAAATGGGATTGGGAGACATGCAGAAGAATGGAAGTGGACATTTGCCTCACAAAACATACAAAGTCAACTCAAGATAGATTAATGACTTAAATGTAAGATGAAAGACTATCATCCCAGCAATTTGGGAGGCCAAGGCGGGCAGATCACCTAAGGTCAGGATTCCAAGACCAGCATGGCCAACATGGTGAAATCCCGCCTCTACTAAAAATACAAAAACAGCTGGGTGTGGTTGTGGGTGCCTGTAATCTCAGCTACTCGGGAGGTTGAGACAGGAGAATCACTTGAACCCAGGAGGTAGAGGTTGCAGTGAGCCGAGATCGCACCACTGCACTCCAGCCGGGGCAACAGAGTGAGACTCCATCTTAAAAAAAAAAAAAAACTACTAAAAGAAATCAAGGGAAAACTCCACTGGCTTGGGCAAAACCATTTTGGATATTAACCCAAAGGCCCAGGCAACAAAAGCAAAAGTAGACAAATAACATTATATCAAATTGAAAGTTTCTGCAAAGAAAAAAAAAAACTCAACAAGTGGAAAGACAACCTATGGAATGGGAGAATATATTTGCACCCATACATCTAATAAGGAATTAATATCCAAAATATATAAGAAACTCAAACAACTCAATGGTAAGAAATCAAATAACCCAACTTAAAAAAATGGGCAAAGTATCTGAATAAACATTTCTAAGAATAAGACAAATCACCAAAAGGTATATGAAAAAATGATTAGCATTACTAAACATCAGCTAAATAAAAATTAAAACTAGAATGAGATATCACCTCACACCTCTTAGAATGACCATTAACAGTCTGGGCATGGTGGCTCATGCCTGTAATTCAGGCACTTTGGGAGGCCGAGGCAGGGAGATTACCTGAGGTCAGCAGTTCGAAACCAGCCTGGCCAATATGGTGAAATCCCATCCCTACTAAAAATACAAAAATTAGCAGAGTTTGGTGGCGCACACTTGTAGTCCCAGCTACTCTGGAGACTGAGGCAGGGGAATCGCTTGAACCCAGGAGGCAGAGGTTGCAGTACACCGAGATTGTGCCACTGCACTCCAGCCTGGGTGACAGAGCAAGACTGAGTCTCAAAAAAAAAAAAAAAAAGACCATTATCAAAAACATAAAAAATAACAAGGGTTAACGAGGATGTGGAGAAAAGGGAACATTTGTATGCAGTTGATGGGAATGTAAATTAGCACAACCATTATGGAAAACAGTCTGGAAGTTCCTGAAAAAATTAAACATAGAATTCCCATATGTGTCTGCAATCCAACTACTGCGCATGTATCCAAAGGAAGTGGAATCAGTATGTTGAAGAGATATCTGCATTCCCATGTTTACAGCCGCATTATTCATAACAGCCAAGATGTGGAATCACCCTTACTGCCCATCTATGGGTGCATGGACAAAGAAAACGTGGTATACGATAGGAACGTAATGAAGTACTATACAACCTTTACAACAAAGAAGGAAGTCCTCTCATTTGTGACAATGTGAAAAAACTTAGAGGACATTATGTTAAGGGAAACAATCCAGGCACAGAAAGACAAATGCCACATGATCTCATGTGTGGAGTGTAAGAAGTGGAACCTAGAGGAACAGTAAAATGGTCGTCGAAAGAACCTGGGAAGGAGAGAGATTGAAGAGATGTTGGTCAAAGGATGCAAAATTTCAGTTAGAAGAAATCGGTTCAAGAGATCTATTGTATGTCTTGGTGACTCCATTTAATAGCAACATATGGTGTACTGAACATTACTAAGAGATTAGATTTTACATGTTCTCACCACACACACAAAACATACAAGTATGTGAAAAAATAAATAGATAAAGAGGTTGTTTCATCCATTCCACAATGTGTACCTATATGAAAACATCATGATGGACACCACAAATACCCTTTTCCTCATTAATTAAATTTGTTTTGGCTTTTTTTTTGAGACGCAGTTTCACTGTTGTTGCCCAAGCTGAGGTGCAATGGCGTGATCTCCGCTCACTGCAACCTCTGCCTCCCAGGTTCAAGCGGTTCTCCTGACTCAGCCTCCCAAGCAGCTGGGACTACAGTTGCGTACCACCCCGTCCGGCTATATTTGTGTTTCTAGTAGAGACAGGGTTTCGCCATGTTGGCCAGGCTGGTCTCGAACTCCAGACCTCAGGTGATCCACCCGCTTCGCCCTCCCAAAGTGCTAGATTTCAGGCTGAGACACCACACCCAGCCTGTACATTGACTTTCTGCCCTTAAACTGTGCTGAAGTTTGTTTCTCAGATGTAGGAGCCTTTGGGCAGAGACTATGGGGTTTCTAGGTATAGAAATTATCTCATCTTCAAACAGAGGTAATTTGACTACCTCTCTCTGCTACTCTCTTCTTACTTGGATGCCTTATAATTCTTTCTCTTTCCTGATGGCTCTGTCTAGGACTTCAAGTACTATGTTGAATAGGATGGTGAGAGTGGGCATTCTTGTCTTGTTTCACTTATGAAGGGAACTTCTTCCAGCTTTTACTCATTCAGTATGATGTTGGTTGTGGGTTTGTCATAGGCGGCTCTTATTATATTGAGTTATGTTTCTTCAATGCTTAGCTTGTTGAGGGCTTTTAACATGAAGAAATGCTTAGTAAAAAGTATGTTCTACATGTGTGTTGAGAAGATCATGTGGTTTTTGTTTTTAGTTTTGTTTAGGTGATGAATCACATGTATTGATTGTGTATGTTCAACCAACCTTGCACCCTAAGAATAAAGTTGACTTGATCATGGTGGATTCACTTTTTGATATGCTGCGGGATTCAGTTCTTAGTATTTTTTGTGGATTTTTGCATCTATGCTCATCAGGAATATTGGCATGTAGTTTTCTTTTGTTTAATATTCTTTTCTGTCTTTAGTATCAGGGTGATGCCAGCCTTATAGAATGAGTAAAGGCCACCCTGGGCAAACAGTGAGACCCATCCCTTTTTAAAAATTATGAGTTTTACAAATTTAAAATGCATAGTGAAAAAGTTCTTACAAACTCCAGAAAGGTAGGTGTAAATAAGAGACATTTGTAAGAATGACAGCACATTAAATGTGTAGATTTCAACCTTCAGTTATTGCAATATTCCAGTATCAAGTTGGAGGATGTTATCAGTCTGATATTTTTTCCTCAAATGAGAGAGAGAAAGAAAGACACACAAACAACACAGGGAGAAAAAAAGCACACGTTACAGAGAGACAAAAAGGGAGACAGGGAACTGTGAATTTGGACTCTTGTGTCATAAGACAAATTCTAGATAACACGACCAGACCTTCAATTGACATATTGTGTTTTTGCTAATAAGGTGGAATTCTATGATGCGAAATAACTATATAGTCTTTTCTACTGGGATTTAAATCATTTTATCTGTTTCTGGCTTAACAGGAAAAATACAACCATGGAAAATTATGATGATTTATTTAATACGATTGCTCTATAGTGTTAATAAAACCTATTAGGTATTTTGCATATTACATATCAAGGAGAGTTTGAATCTCAGGTAGAAACAAAAAAAAATACATCAAAAGTTCCTCATGTGAGTGCAGAATTCAATCGTCCCGTGCAGGGGTAAGTGAGTCTGAGATGTGTTTTGAGCCTGGCCGTTGCGCATGATGTGAAGTGACAAGTCTAGTCTGCAGTTTTCAGAAACCCTCATTCCTCCCTTGACTGATTCACCACTTGAACCTCATATGACGTAGAAGAAGCCTACCTATGTCCCCTTCACATGTTGTGGTCAATGTGTCAACTGCACGATCCGGGCCCCTCACCACATCCTCTGCACCGGTCAGTCGAGCCGAGTCACTGCGTCCTGGCAGCAGAAGCTGCACCATGTCCATGTCACCCACGGTCATCATCCTGGCATGTCTTGGTGAGTCCTGGAAGGGAAGGAGCACCAGGGTTACACTATGGGCCTGCAGATTGGGTGTCTCCCCAGCAGAGAGCCATGTTCTGAAGCAAGTGAGTGGTGAGGATGAGTTAATTTTCAGTCCAGCGTGGCGCCCAGTGGCTCAGGAGGAAAGGGTAGGTTGCTGCCGAGATGAATAGTTCATCATGATCTTTCTTTGCAGGGTTCTTCTTGGACCAGAGTGTGTGGGCACACGTGGGTGAGTCCTTCCCCAAATGATGGGTTGCCATCTTCACCCCAATACAAGTGAATTTTCCGGAAATGGGAGGGAGGCAGCACAGAGGGTGGGCTGATGGGCTGACCATGGGAAGGCCTGGGGGGAGTCTCTCATGAACTAGTAAGAGGAGATCCTGGGAGTCTCTCATGAACTAGTAAGAGGAGATCCTGGGAGTCTCTCATGAACTAGTAAGAGGAGATCCTGGGAGTCTCTCATGAACTAGTAAGAGGAGATCCTGGTATGCTCAGCCTTCTGTTTTGTCTTAGCCCTCCCCAGCCTTTCTTCCCCATGGCTGAGTTGAGCTCTGTGTGGCCCAGGCGGGATACTGAGGTGCTCAAAGCTGGGGTGTGTGGGGGGATGTGGTGTCACCGACAGAGGAGGGAAGGGTAGCAGTGTTAGGAACAGCAGGTCCTCTGAGGACAAGAGGGTAACTCACACCCTCCAGCGTTTCCATGACGGTAGGGGCTGCAGTGTGGCTGCTGTCATTCTGCCAGAAGAGGTGGGGGAACCACAGCCACGACCCTGCCATTCCAAATCCTCTGATGGAGCTCAGTTGTTTATTGTGGTTCAGGCATTAGCTAATATTCCATTCACAAAGGTCATACCCTCCACCCCATGTCTACTTTGTGTTGTTTGGTGTAACTAATCTTGCAGTATTAAAATCTAGTAAGAGTCCCTTACTCAGCACCTGCTCAGTTCTCAACTGACACTTTTGTTGTAGGGAGACGCCACGTCTATGCGGGATGGGTCCTTCCTGTAGCCCCAGGCACCCAGGTGTGGTAGGAGCCTTAGAAAGAAGAAATGGGGAGAATCTTCTGAGCACAGGGAGGGAGGGGCAGCTCAACATACTCCTCTCTGAGGCGGCATCTCCTTCTCCCCAAGGTGGTCAGGACAAGCCCTTCTGCTCTGCCTGGCCCAGCGCTGTGGTGCCTCAAGGAGGACACGTGACTCTTCGGTGTCACTGTCGTCGTGGGTTTAACATCTTCACGCTGTACAAGAAAGATGGGGTCCCTGTCCCTGAGCTCTACAACAGAATATTCTGGAACAGTTTCCTCATTAGCCCTGTGACCCCAGCACACGCAGGGACCTACAGATGTCGAGGTTTTCACCCGCACTCCCCCACTGAGTGGTCGGCACCCAGCAACCCCCTGGTGATCATGGTCACAGGTCAGAGGGCTCCTGTCTGGGCTTCTCCTTGTCCCACCTCCTGAGTCCCAGAGCTTCTGGTGGGGGTGTCCACCAGAGTCCGATCATCCAGGCCCCAACTATATTTGGGGTAAAGGGGGATTGAATACAGGGGAATGGGTGCTGTGTTGGAAAGAATAACTGTCCCCATCGATGGCCACATTGTAATCCTTGGAGCCTGTGACTATGTTATAGGGCAGGGGACTGAAGGGGAAGATGGAGCTCAGGTTGTTGATGAGTTGACCTTGAGATGGGGAGATGGCCTGGACCCTCCCACTGGGCTCAGTGTAATCACAAGGGTCCATATGAGTGGAGAAGGAAGAGGAGAATGGGGATTAGAGCAGCATCGTGGGATACTCCACCAGCCACTGTGGGCTTTGAAGGTGGAGGAAGACCACGAGCCACGAAGGGGCTGGAGAAATCAATGGAACTGATTCTCCCGAGTCTCCAGAGGGAATGCAGCCCTGCAGATGCCTTGATTGTAGCCCAGGAAGAACAGGGTCTGATTTCTGTCTCCAGAAGTGGAAGGGGTCAGTGTGTTCTCTCCTGCCGCCATGTTTGTGATAATTTTCTCCAGCAACAACAGGAAACCAACACAGGAACCCAGGTGAAGGACAAGTTAAAAAACCAAACAAGAAGGTTGGCTACCCTGAGATCAGCAAGGGTGCACTGCTGATGCCACCACCAGGCTGGAACCACATAGGGAGGGATCGACAGGAAGAGTTGGGGGTGGAGGGTGAGAGAGAGAGAGAGAGAGAGAGCACTAGGCCATAGAGCAGGGCAGTGAGTTCTCAGCTCAGGTGGGAGGGGAGCTGTGACAAGGAAGAACCTCCCTGAGGAAACTGCCTCTTCTCCTTCCAGGTCTATATGAGAAACCTTCGCTTACAGCCCGGCCGGGCCCCACGGTTCGCGCAGGAGAGAACGTGACCTTGTCCTGCAGCTCCCAGAGCTCCTTTGACATCTACCATCTATCCAGGGAGGGGGAAGCCCATGAACTTAGGCTCCCTGCAGTGCCCAGCATCAATGGAACATTCCAGGCCGACTTCCCTCTGGGTCCTGCCACCCACGGAGAGACCTACAGATGCTTCGGCTCTTTCCATGGATCTCCCTACGAGTGGTCAGACCCGAGTGACCCACTGCCTGTTTCTGTCACAGGTGAGGAAAGCCAATGTCTGTCCCATGTCCTATGGTCCTAGAGCCTTAGCTGAGGAGCTTCCTGCTGATGATGGAGAGAAGCATGGACAGATGTGGAGAGAAGATGCAGCATGGTGTGAGGGTGGGATCAGGGCACAGGATGGCAGACAGGGCACCTCCAAACCCTCCTGCATGGCCTGCATGGAAGCTTGCAGTAAGGGCTCC
Organism: Homo sapiens; assembly: GCF_000001405.40. Taxonomy (NCBI): domain Eukaryota; kingdom Metazoa; phylum Chordata; class Mammalia; order Primates; family Hominidae; genus Homo; species Homo sapiens. The sequence goes on from NW_016107302.1 coordinate 108,085, forward strand.
GGGTACCCAGGCAGATGGAGAAAGTGGTCAGGACAGACCCAGAGGAGGGAGACTGGGCTCAGTTTGGGGAGATCAGAGGTTCCCTCAGCCCCTCAACCTTACCCATTTCCCAGAAGCCCACCCTGGCCTCTCACCTACACAGAGATGTCATCACCAGCAACCCCTACACTTTTTCTTTTCCTTTGAAAAAATGCTGATTGAGGTTAAATATACCTATATAATTTATCAACTTTACCATTTTTAAGTGTAAAATCTAGGGATCATAAATACCTTTATATGCTGTGTGCAGTGGCTCACGCCTGTAATCTCAGCATTTTGAGACGCCAAGGCAGGTGGATCATTTAAAATCAGGGGCTGGAGACCAGCCTGGCCAACATGGGGGAACCAATCTTTACTAAAAAGACAAAAAAAATAAAATTAGCCAGGCATGGTGCCAGGCGCCTATAATCCCAGCAACTTGGGAGGCTGAGGCGGGAGAGTGGCTTAAACCCAGGAGGAGGAGGTTGCAGTGAGCTGAGATCATGCCACTGCACTGCAGCCTGGTGACACAGAGAGACTCTGTCTCTAAATAAATAAATAAATACTTTTATATTCTTCTTTTGTTACCCTCCACCCCTTCCTTCCTAACCTCTGGTATCCACCATTCTACTCTCTACCTTCATGAGGTCCACCTTTTACATCCTGCATATGAGTAAGAAATGGCAATCCTTGTAATGACCTCCAGTCCATCCATGTGGCTGCAAATGACAGGACGTTTCTCTTTGTATGGATGAGTTGTCTCCATTGTGTGTATGTACTACATTCTCTCTATCCATTCATCCACTGATGGGCAGGTAGGTTGACTCCACATCTTGGCTACTGTGAACAGTGCTGGAACAGTCATGGGAGTGCAGATGTCACTTCAATACACTGAAGTCCTTTTCTTTGCATTTACACCCACTAGTGGAATTGCTAGATCCTCTGGATGTTCTCTTTTTAGGTTTTGTTTTATGCTTTTTGTTTTTTTGACATAGCGTTTCACTCTTGTTGCCCAAGCTGGAGTGCAATGGCACCACCTGGGCTCACTGCAACCTCTACCTCCAGGATTCAAGTGATTCTCCAGCCTCAGCCTCCCGAGTAGTTGGGATTACTGGTGCCCGCCACCACGCCTGGCTGATTTTTGTATTTTTAGTAGAGACGGGGTTTCACCATGTTAGCCAGGCTGGTCTCGAACTCTTGACCTCCAGTGATCTGCCCACTTCAGCCTCCCAAGGTGCTGGGATTACAAGCGTGAGCCACAGTGCCTAATCTCTTTTTAGTTTTTAAGGAACTTCCATATTCTTCTCCTCTGTAATGGCTGTATTAATTTACATTCCTATCAACAGTGTATCAGGGTTCTCCTTTCTCCACCACCTTGCCAACATTTGTTTTGTCTGTCTCTGAGATAAAACCCATTGTAATGGGGTGAGATGATAGCTCATTGTGACTTCATTTGCATTTCTCTGATGATTAGTGATACTGAGCACTTTTTCATATATGCAATGTATATATGTTCATTTGTATGTTTTGTTCATTGAGAAATGTCTGTTCAGGTCTTTTACTAATTTTATAATTAAATTATTAGTTTTATTGAGGTGTTTGAGCTTCTTTTATATTCTAGTTATTAATCCCATCTCAGATGCATAGTTTGCAAATATTTGCTCCCATTCTGTGGGTTGTCTCTTCTTCACTTCATTGGTTGCTTCCTTTGCGGTGCAGAAGCTGCTTGATTTGATATAATCCCAATGGTCTATTTTTTTGTTGTTGTTGTGATTACTTGTGTTTTTGAGGTTTTAAACAAAATGTCTTCCCTCAGACAAATGTCCTGGAGCATTTCTCCAGTGTTTCCTTTTAGACATTTAATGGATTCAGGTCTTAAGTCATTAATCCATTTTCATCTGATTTTTGTGTATGGTGAGAGGTAGAGGTGCAGTTTCATCCCTCTGCATGTAGATATCCAGTTTTCCCTGCACCATTTATTGAAATGACTGTCCTTTCCAGATTGTAGATTCTTCGAACCTTTGTCAAAGTCCATTGGATGTAAATGGGTGGATTACATCCGTGTTCTTCATTCTGCTCCATTGTTTTATGTGCTTTTCTTTATGCCAATGTCATGTTGTTTTGTTTACTACAGCTCTGTAACATATTTTTAAGTCAGGTAGTGTGATGCTCCTGTTTTCTCCTTATACCTTGAAGTCTCAAGATAGTTGGTGTCACCTACAATGATTATGGAGAATGGGATGCCAGGACTCCCAGGGCCCAACATTAGATAATAGAATGTTGGCCATGAACCAACCTCAAAGATTTCCATTGAGTAGAAGACAGGCATCCTCATTGCCACACCTCTCTCCTGTCCCATGTTCTAGGAAACCCTTCTAGTAGTTGGCCTTCACCCACTGAACCAAGCTTCAAAACTGGTAAGTGAAGGACCCCTCTTATCTCTGCTTTTGGAAACCTGGGGAGGTAGAAGCCTTGGATTCAAGCGTTGGCTCAGCACCTGCCAGCTCTGTGATTGTGGGCCTGTCTTCCATTGTCTCTGAACCCCAGACACTCCAACAGCGAAAGGGATCTGGGCCCAGCACAGGGCTCAGTGAAATCTCTTAATCTCTAATTTTCTGCTGCTGAGACCTCAGGGTAGAAGGATGAGTGCAAATCAGACATTCTTCTCAGGAAAAATGCTGTGTTTGTTCTGCCTGCATTCCTAACTGGGAGGACAAATGCCTGGGGGCTTGAGAAGGGGAAGGACGGGGAACATTTTTGAGGGTGGTGTATTTGTAGAGAAGTTCTACTTGCCAAGGAATGAGCTCCTGTCTGTCATGATCCAACCCTGGTTGACTTAGTGGAACAAGAGCTTTGCAGTAAGAGAGAACGTAGTTCATCCGTGCACATGACACTTCCACTTACTCGTTCAGCCACTGCCCCATGCTCAGACTGTGCAGTGTGGAACCTTTTCCTATGTTGCCATAACAAATTTCCACAAGCTTCGTGGATGGAAACCACATTTTTAAAAAATATCTCATGGTGCTGTAGCTCAGAAGTATGAAATGCATCATCTCACTGGGCTAAAATCAAGGTGACAGCAAGGCTGCCTTCCCTCTGAATGTTCCAGGCAAGAATCTGCTTCCTCACTTTTCCCAGCTCCTAGAGGCTCCCACATTCCTTGGCTCCTGGTCCCCGTCTTCCTCCCTCAAAGTCCACAAAGGCTGGTCACGCCTCTCACACGGCATCACTCAGACCCTTCTTCCTTGTCCACACCTCTTTCTCTGAATGCTGCTCTGCCTTCTTCCTCATCTTTTAAGGACTTTGGCATTCTATTGGAAACACCAAGATAATCCATCATAATTTCCCTAAAATCATCTAGGATACCCTCCTTTTAAGGTTAGCTGATTAGCAACCGTAATTCCATCTGCAATCTGCATTCCTTTTTTCCATGTAAAATAACATATTCACAAGATATGGCGACTAGGACAGGAACATTTTGGGGTGGGGCGGCATTCTTATCCTTTCCACAAATGGTAAACAAGGTGCATTTGGCCTCTGCTCTTGGACACTGATATTGCAAAGGATTAAATGGGAGGGCAGAAAATGAATGCACCAGTGGACCAATAAATGAATGATCCATTGGGAAGCATCTGTGCATGAGAATGATTGATTGATTGGTTGTTTTTATGAGACGGTGTCTCCCTCTGTGCCCCAGGCTGGAGTGCAGTGGCGGGATCTCGGCTCACCGCAACCTCCACCTCCCAGGTTAAAGCGATTCTCTACACTCAGCTTCCCGAGAGGCTGGGATTACACCCATGTCCCACCACGCCTGGCTAATTTTTTTTTGGTATTTTTTTTTAGTACAGACAAGGTTTTACCATGTTGCCCAGGCTATCTCAAACTCCCAACCTTAAGGGATCCGCCCGTCTCAGCCTCCCAAAGTGCTGAGATTAGAGGCGTGAGCCAAGGCGCCGAGCCGTATTTTAAAAGAAATAATAGATAATGCTGAGTGTATAATTTCGGGTGACAGAGAAGTTCTCACTGATCAAATAATACTTGTGACCTTAATGAAAAAAATAGATCAACCCCTGGAAGATTGGCGGAAGGATTTTCCACACAGCTGTCAGCCGTGAAGGCACAAAGGTGAAAACAATGTTATGTGGAAGGAAGAGGCTCTGCCTGAAATGCTGGGAATGACATGGGGAGAATGACAAGACGACTGTGGAGAGACAGAGAGCACTCTGGGTACACAGGAAACTAAGGAGGAACAAGGAGCGTGTGTTTGATACTCACAGCCATTGGACTTACCTCGGGGCTAACTGGGAATCCCTACATGATGAATAGTGACTGACATGAAAATAAGGGAGGCCCAGGTGCATAACTGGAATCTAGGAGACTGTGGAAAAGGCAATTCCCGCCCCCCTGGTGAAATGTGGTGCTGATTTAGACACTAAATGAATGAAAGATGGACACAAGATGTGTTTGTGAGGTAGAGTAATTTGCAGGGAGGGCTTGCCTGGTTTGATTTTTCCTAATTGTTTAATCTTCACTTCATTGATTTCTTTCTGAGATTTATTTTTCCTACATGTAAATCAATACTTGGCAGAGGAGTGAGAGATACATGAGGGGTGGTGCAAAGGAAGAGACCTATTATAATATAACACACAAGGTTCTGAACGGTGGCTCACACCTGTAACCCAACATTTTGGGAGGCTGAGGAGGCTGGATCAAGTGAGATCAGGAGTTCGAGATCAGCCTGGACAACATGGTGAAACCCCATCTCTACTAAATATACAAAAACTAGCTGGGGGTGGTGGCGCGTGCCTGTAATACCAGCTATTCGGGAAGTTGAAGAAGGAGAATGGCTTCAACCAGGGAGGGAGAGGTTACAGTGAGCCAAGATCGCGTCATTGCACTGCACCCTAGGTGACAGAGTGAGACTCCATGGCAAAAAATAAAAATAAAGAATACATAAATATAATATAACATACACGAATGACAAAGGCACACCAATTCCAATCATCATTTTTCTATTTCTCTATAATGACTTCTTTGATCCTTTATCCTATCCGTAAGAAAATCAGGCGAAAACATCTTCCTTATTTGGCTTTCTGTGAGCATGAGATCATATGGAAAATGTGAAACCCACCAGCACAGGTCCTGGAATAGAGAACGTGATCTGTTCATGGCACAAAACTTGCCCCTTCACCCAAATCCCCCACCTCACCCCTACTTCCAATCACATTAATGATACAGATAGATCATGGGGAGGTAAAAACTAATATTCTTTGGAGTTCAGATCGTAGACTCAGAGACCAGTGCCAGCACTATCTCCTGGTCACCTTTTGGAGTAATTCACAGAAAGACAGGCTGTATTGAAGCAACAGATGATGGAGGGGGTGGTCTTTCCCCCAGACTCTCGGGTGGAACAGCAGCCTAATATCTGACTCCCAAGATGACAAAAGTAGCATGTTGCCCACGAGCTTCATCATTATTTCCTGGCTGTTTGATATAAGACAGCTCAACCTCACTTATGTTGATTTCAATGTCACTGTTTTTTCCTTTTCTTGGAGAATGTAATTTGTTTGAGTCAAGAGGGTTGTGGATGTAGAAACTGTAAAGCACATTCACTGTGTATCAATCCCAGTCCAGTCTTCCCAGAGAAGACTCTAAACACCTCCCATACTGCACCTGGGGCTGTGCCAATTTCTATCACTCACCATCACTCCAGGGAGACAGAACACACAGGGAATACATTACATAGGCAGGTTCATTACTTATAGATAAGCAGCGAGTGACAACAGAAACCTTCCTTTCAGGGTGAGCCAGTCCCTCAAGGCTCAGAAAAACTGCTCAGGACACATGGAGTCACTTCATGTGCACTGTAGCTGGGGGAAGCCAGAAAGCAGCCCAGCCTGGGTTTTGTACCCTGGAGCCACAGGGAACACTCAGCTAAAGCACTGCATGATGTTCTCCTCCAGGAAGAACAGGAAGACAGCCCAGGCTGTTCTGAGACGTTCCTCCTGATCTCAGGATGTTGCTGTCTTAGCCTATTTTTGTTGCTATAAAAGAACACTTGAGCCTGGGTATCTTCTAAAGAAAAGAGATGTGTTTGGCTCACTGATCTGCACGCTGTACTAGAAGCAGGACACTACCATCTATTTCTGGCTGCGGCCTCAGGCTGCTCCCACACTGACAGAAGAGAAGGGGGTCCTGCGTGTGCAGAGACCACAGAGATCACATGGCAAGAGAGGGAGAAAGGGGGTGTGATGGAGCTTCCAAGCTCTTTTTAAGAATCAACTCTCCAGGGTACTAATAGAGGGAGAACTTGCTAACCCCGTCCTCTGGGGACAGCATTAATCTATTCATGATGGATCCACCCCCATGACCAAAACACCCCTCCCAATAGGCACAACCTCCCACACTGGGGATTAAATTTCAAAGTGGGGTTTGGAGGGGTCAAACATTGAAACAATAGCAGTTGTATCATCAGCACATTCTATTGTTATTATGAAAACTATAACGGAGAAAGCAGGAGAAAGCTGGGTCTCCCGCCTCGTGGGTGCTTGTCTTAAAGAGGTGTTTTATGTGGTTGCCTGGCAACCAAGAAATGAGAGACAATCCACAAAGAGGAACTGCTATGGTTAGCTTCTTATTGGATTCCCATCTTCCTCCAGGTATCGCCAGACACCTGCATGCTGTGATTAGGTACTCAGTGGCCATCATCCTCTTTACCATCCTTCCCTTCTTTCTCCTTCATCGCTGGTGCTCCAAAAAAAAAGTAAGCCTCACGAAGCAGAGGCCAGAGAACTCAGGGCCCTGTGCGGAAGCAGGATGGGAGCACGCAGGTGTGTGTTCCTCACTGGCAGGAAAGTCTCTGGCCCAAGGCAGGAGCCAGAGGCAGAGCTTTCTAGAGAGAGCACCAGACACCCTGCCCCTGCCTTCAGCTCACAGACCGTTGCCTGATTGTGAACTGTATCCTCACGTCCCCTGCAGCCACTCACATCCAGGAGAAGATTCCATGACAGGCAGAAAGTGGGAGATAGAATCAATGGGATGGGAACTGACAGCTATTCATGGAATGGGGTCTTGCACTCAGAGAGATGGAATGTCTGAGTCTGGCTGTTGGCAGCTGAGGGACCTCAGGCACCTATGGCCTCCCCCTGTGTGTTGGTATCTGTTCATGAAATGAGGACCCAGAAGTGCCCTCCCAGCTGTTTTGATTGCTTCCGTCTCCTACAGATGCTGCTGTAATGAACCAAGAGCCTGCGGGACACAGAACAGTGAACAGGGAGGTAGGTCCTCCTAGCCCAGCCTCATGGATACAGTCTTATTCCGAAATAGTCCTGAAAAATGTGAACACCCTCCCTCACTCAGGATTTCCCTCTCTCCAGGACTCTGATGAACAAGACCCTCAGGAGGTGACATACGCACAGTTGGATCACTGCATTTTCACACAGAGAAAAATCACTGGCCCTTCTCAGAGGAGCAAGAGACCCTCAACAGATACCAGCGTGTGTATAGAACTTCCAAATGCTGAGCCCAGAGCGTTGTCTCCTGCCCATGAGCACCACAGTCAGGCCTTGATGGGATCTTCTAGGGAGACAACAGCCCTGTCTCAAACCCAGCTTGCCAGCTCTAATGTACCAGCAGCTGGAATCTGAAGGCGTGAGTCTCCATCTTAGAGCATCACTCTTCCTCACACCACAAATCTGGTGCCTGTCTCTTGCTTACCAATGTCTAAGGTCCCCACTGCCTGCTGCAGAGAAAACACACTCCTTTGCTTAGCCCACAATTCTCTATTTCACTTGACCCCTGCCCACCTCTCCAACCTAACTGGCTTACTTCCTAGTCTACTTGAGGCTGCAATCACACTGAGGAACTCACAATTCCAAACATACAAGAGGCTCTCTCTTAACACGGCACTTAGACACGTGCTGTTCCACCTTCCCTCGTGCTGTTCCACCTTTCCTCAGACTATTTTTCAGCCTTCTGGCATCAGCAAACCTTATAAAATTTTTTTGATTTCAGTGTAGTTCTCTCCTCTTCAAATAAACATGTCTGCCTTCATTCTTTAGGTGACTCTTTTTTTGGCTGAAAGTTTCCAGTGTTATCATTACCATGTCCAAATAACTCCAACTGTTCTCCACTGGGTTCTCACCCCTGGACTCGGAGCTTCTGGAAGCAGGGTGGAGCCTGATTTGTCTCTGAGACTCCAATTTCCATCCAAAGATGCAGCACATAAGAGGTTCCAAGGATCGTGAATCACATGAACAAGTGATATTCTTACTCTCTGCAGACCTGGAAAGCTGGCAGAGTCATTCCATGATGAAACATTTGTAGAGTCATAGGCCTTGTTAGTCTCATCTCCACGGGGACACATATCAACACATCATCTTTCATACTATAAATATACAGTCGGTCCTCTGTATCTGTGGGATTTACAGGTGTTTATTGAACCAAATATAAATCAAAAATATTCAGAGAAAAAATCCACAAAGTTTCAAAAAGCAAAACTATGTTGAATGGACACAAATGAAGCTGTGTGTAGGCTGTATCAGGAATTATAAATAATCAAGGGATGATTTCATGTACACAGGAGGATGTGCATGGGTTATTTGCAAATGCTGTGCCATTTCATGTAAGAGGCTTGAGCGTCTGCAGATTGTGCTATCTGAGTGGAGATCCTGAAACCAATCACCCACGAATAGTGAGGGATGACTGTATATAATTTTTATTTCTCAATTTTAAATATAAAACATAAAAAAATTACAATAACAAGATAAAATAAACAAGTGTTTTATAGTGTGAGAATACGTTTAGATATATTTTTCTCTATGTGTAACCCTTGGGCCCATGTTATTTATTGAGAAGACATTCTATTCCACCTTAAACCACATGGCAGCCTTTGTCAACTATAAAGGGACTGTGTGTACACGGATGTATTTTAGACACTGTTTTCTGCTCAGTGGCTCTCTCTCTGTCCACTCTCTTGAGAATGCTGCATTTTATGCAGCCTTATACAACCCCTAAAATTTGGTAGCTGGAGTCCTCTAGTTATTTATTATAGGCTATTTGCTATGCTTTTTTTATTTTTCTTGAGGCAGAGTCTCGCTCTGTTGCCCAGGCTGGAGTGCAGTGGCACGATCTCGGCTCACTGCAACTTCCGCCTCCCAGGTTCAAGGGATTCCGTGCCTCAGCCTCTTGAATAGCTGGCATTACAAGTGCCTGCTACCAGGCATGGCTAATTTTTGTATTTTTAGCAGAGACATGGTTTCACTATATTGGCCAGGCTGGTCTCAAACTCCTGACCTCGGTTGATCACTCACCTCGGCTTCCAAAGTGCTGGGGAAATTGATTTTCTATAGCATTATGTTACTGGATATTTCTGTAAAATTTAAAATGAGGGAGGCAGAGAGACAGAGAGAGAGCAAACCATGAGTTGGAACTCTGGAATCTTGGGACATGAGACAAATTCTAGATAAATCTACAAAAATCCAGAATTTACATGTTGTGATTTTTGCTGATAAAGTACAATTCTAAGATTGTAAATAATTGCATAATCCTTCCCTGGGAGTTTAAATCATTTGAACTGGTTCTGCTGTAATACTAGAAATACAATCATGAAAAATTCTAATGGTTTATTGTCACAATTGCTCTGAAAACCTTAATAATACCTATTAGATATTTTGCATATTACACAGGAAGAAGAGTTTGAATCTCAGATAAAAACAATAAAAATACATGAAAAGTCTTTCATGTTAGCACAGATTTTAGGCATCTCATGTTCGGGAGGTTGGATCTGAGACGTGTTTTGAGTTGGTCATAGTGAAGGACGCGAGGTGTCAATTCTAGTGAGAGCAATTTCCAGGAAGCCATGTTCCGCTCTTGAGCGAGCACCCACTGGGCCTCATGCAAGGTAGAAAGAGCCTGCGTACGTCACCCTCCCATGATGTGGTCAACATGTAAACTGCATGGGCAGGGCGCCGAATAACATCCTGTGCGCTGCTGAGCTGAGCTGGGGCGCAGCCGCCTGTCTGCACCGGCAGCACCATGTCGCTCATGGTCGTCAGCATGGCGTGTGTTGGTGAGTCCTGGAAGGGAATCGAGGGAGGGAGTGAGGGGATGGAGATCTGGACCTGGAGGTAAAGATATGGGCCTAGAGGTGGAGTTATGGGCCTAGAGGTGGAGTTATGGGCCTGAAGTGGAGATCTGGGCCTGGAGTGGAGATCTGGGCCTGGAGTGGAGATAGGGGCCTGGGGTGGAGATATGTGCCTGGAGTGGAGATCTGGGCCTGGAGTGGAGATATGGGCCTGGGGTGGAGATATGTGCCTGGGGTGGAGAGATGGGCCTGGAGGGGAGATATGGGCCTGGAGGGGAGATGTGGGCCTAGAGGTGGAGTGATGGGCCTAGAAGTGGAGCGATGGGCCTGGAGTGGAGATATGGGCCTGGAGGTGGAGTTATGGGCCTGCAGTAGAGATATGGGCCTGAAGTGGAGATATGGGCCTGGAGTGGAGATATGGGCCTAGAGGTGGAGTTATGGGCCCGGAGGTGGAGTTAAGGGCATGAAGTGGAGATCTGGGCCTGGAGTGGAGATATGATCCTGGAGTGGAGATATGGGCCTGGGGTGGAGATACGGGCCTGGAGCAGACATACAAGCCTGGAAAGGAGATATGGGCCTGGAGAGGAGATAGAAGCCTGGAGTGGAAATATGGGCCTGGAGTGGACTTACCAGCCTGGAGAGGAGATATGGGCCTGGAGTTGAGATAGGAGCCTGGAGTGGAGATATGGGCCTGGAGTGGACTTACCAGCCTGGAGAGGAGATATGGGCCTGGAGTGGAGATACGGACCTGGAGTGGAGATCTGGGCCTGTTGTGTAGATCTAGGCCTGGAGGTAGAGATCTGGGCCTGGAGGCTCAGTCTCTGCACAGCCGAGATCCTTGTTCCTGGGGGCAGGTAGGCAGCGAGGGTGAGTTTACCTTCAGCCCAGCAAGGGCCTGGCTGCCAAGACGCACAGCCCAGTGGGGGCAGCAGGGTGCCCTGGTTTGCCTGCAGATGGATGGTCCATCATGATCTTTCTTTCTAGGGTTGTTCTTGGTCCAGAGGGCCGGTCCACACATGGGTGAGTCCTTCCCCAAACCTTAGGGTGTCATCTCCCCACATAAGAGGATTTTCCTGAAATGGGAGGGAAGTCCTGTCGGGGAGTCTCTCATACACTAGGAAGAGGGGACCCTCGGATGCTCGGCCCACATTTCTGACCTTGCCTTCCCCGGCCTTTCATTCCCTTTCCTGAGTCAAGCTCTGTGAAGACTGGGGTGAGACTAGGGTGCTCCAAGATGGGTGTGCAGGGAGGAAGTGGTGTCAGCAGCAGAGAAAGAGAGGGAAGCAGTGCTAGGAACAGCAGGTCCTCTGAGGACAAAGGTGTAACTCACACCCTCCAGCGTTTCCGTGATGGTAGGGGCTGCAGTGTGGCTGCGGTCTTTCTACCAGAAAAGGTGAGGAAACCACAGCCATGGCCCTGACATTCCAAATCCTCTGATGGGGGCTCAGTTCATCAATTGGCTGATATTCCATTCACATAGGACTTGCCCTCCATGCCGTGTCTACTTTGTGTTGTTTTATATGAGTAATTTTGCAGTATTAAAATCTAGTAAGAGTTGCTTCTCCAGCAACTTGCTCAAAGTTCTCAGCTGACACTTGTTGTAGGGAGACGCCAAGTCTATGCAGGATGGGTCCTTCCTGTAGCCCTGGGCACCCAGGTGTGGTAGGAGCCTTAGAAAGTGGAAATGGGGAGAATCTTCTGGGCACTGGGAGTGAGGGGCGGCTCCACATCCTCCTCTCTAAGGCAGTGCCTCCTTCTCCCCCAGGTGGTCAGGACAAACCCTTCCTGTCTGCCTGGCCCAGCGCTGTGGTGCCTCGAGGAGGACACGTGACTCTTCGGTGTCACTATCGTCATAGGTTTAACAATTTCATGCTATACAAAGAAGACAGAATCCACATTCCCATCTTCCATGGCAGAATATTCCAGGAGAGCTTCAACATGAGCCCTGTGACCACAGCACATGCAGGGAACTACACATGTCGGGGTTCACACCCACACTCCCCCACTGGGTGGTCGGCACCCAGCAACCCCGTGGTGATCATGGTCACAGGTCAGAGGCTTTCCGTCTGGGCTTCTCACTGTCCCACCTCCTGAATCCCAGAGCTTCTGGTGGGGGTGTCCGTCAGGGTCCCATCACCCAGGCCCTGACTGTATTTGGGGTCAAGGGAGATTGAATACAGGGGAAATGGGTGCTGTGGTGGGAAGAATCACTGTCCCCAATGATGGCTACATTGTAATCCCTGGAGCCTGTGACTATTTATGTTACAGGGCAGGGGACTGAAGGGGAAGGTGGAGCTCAGGTTGTTGATGAGTTGACCTTCAGATGGGGAGACAGCCTGGACTGTCCCACTGGGCTCAGTGTAATCACAAGGGTCCACATGAGAGGTGGAGGAAGAGGGGAGTGGGGATTAGAGCAGTGTAGTGGGAGGGAGACGCTATCAGCCACTGCGGGCTTTGAAGGTGGAGAAAGACCACTAGTCACAGAATGCAGGTGGCCTCTAAGGGCTGGAGAAGTCAAGAGAACTGATTCGCTGATTCTCCAGAGGGAACGCAGCCCTGTAGACACCTTGATTTCAGCACAGGGAGAACTGGATCCAATTTCTGTCTCCAGAAGTGGAAGGGGTCAGTGTGTTCTCTCCCGCTGCCATGTTTGTGGTAATTTTCTGCAGCAGCAACAGGAAACCAACACAGGAACCCAGGTCAAGGACAAGTTAGGAAACCAAACAAGGATAGCCAGATGTGGTGGTGGGCGCGAGTAATCCAACGACTGGGGAGGCTGAGGCAAGAGAATCACTTGAACTGGGGATTTGTTCAAAAGAGATTGATTCAGGCTGCTAAGAGCCTGGACATGCAGCCTGTCCTCTTCCACCCCCACATAGACAGCAGGAAAGAGATTAGTGGGAAACAGATACAACAGCCCAAGAGATGAGGCTGTCTTCACAGTGGCAAGGGAGTCAGGGGCTACTGGAGACAGAGGGACAGAGAAGAGGGAGGAAGACAGATGGAGGCACCTGCACCAGGGGATATGGGCACAGAAAAGACACGGAGATGCAGAGAGGGAGGAGAGAGACAGACACGGGGAGGGGAACCCTCACTCATTCCAGGTGCCATGGATGGGATGATAAAGAGAGATGCCTTCTAAACTCACAACTTCTCTTTCTAGGAAACCACAGAAAACCTTCCCTCCTGGCCCACCCAGGTCCCCTGGTGAAATCAGGAGAGAGAGTCATCCTGCAATGTTGGTCAGATATCATGTTTGAGCACTTCTTTCTGCACAAAGAGGGGATCTCTAAGGACCCCTCACGCCTCGTTGGACAGATCCATGATGGGGTCTCCAAGGCCAATTTCTCCATCGGTCCCATGATGCTTGCCCTTGCAGGGACCTACAGATGCTACGGTTCTGTTACTCACACCTCCTATCAGTTGTCAGCTCCCAGTGATCCCCTGGACATCGTGGTCACAGGTGAGAGTGTCTAGACATTGTTCTCATTGTCACTGGGACACAGAGTGAATGATCCAGGACTTGGAACCCCCAGGTGGTCATGAGGAAGATAAGTGTGGGATTCTTACGGAAAGAGAGTGACTTGGTGAGGTCTGTACCAACAGAGACAGAGAAACAGGAGACATAAGTACAGAACAGTTGTCATAACAGAGGACAGACACAGGGGCCATACAGGGAGGTAGAAAAGAGAGAAAGAGGTAAAGGAGACACTCAGACAGACAGACATGTCCCAGAGAGAGGTGTCCTTCCATGCTGACTTTGCTCAGAGACCTGGCACAGGTTAGAAGTTTCATTTCTGTTTTACCTCCACAAAGTGTTCCTACCAGAAGAACCCAAGGACACCCATATTTCTGACCTGAGTTGGGCCCTGTGGCCTCAGGCCTTGTGCCACCTACAGATGCCGTGTTTATTCTGACACCTCTGCCTTCCATGCAATGGAGAGTAATCATCCCAGGATATCATGGCCCCTGAACACCAACCCCTGTATGCTGTGTGAACTTGGGGTCCCCAGACTGGATTCTGAGGCTCATATTCCAAATAATCCCACATATGATAGGATCGCTGAGAGACACAGAGAAAAATCAGGGACACCAAAAAGCAAAGACATAAACACACACAAAATGAGCCAGAAGAAGGAGATTAAGAGATTCACAGACACATAAAAAGAAAGAAAAGAGGGCAGAGTGGAGAGAATGATGGAAAGGAGGAGAGAAAAGCCCCAAAATCAGAACCCTGAGGGAGGGACACAAAGACAGAGAAAGATAAATATGTGGGGATGGATTGCAGAGATTCCAAATAGAACTAGAGAGACTGAGAGGCAGAGAAAGACAAGGAGACGGAGAGAGAGAGATGATAGATGGATAGATAGACGTAGATAGATGATAAATAGGTAGATGATAGATAATGGATTGGTTATAGATACATAGATGATGACTGATAGATGATACATAGAGATGACGATGATGATGATAGACACATAGATATATACATAGATGATACATAAATAGAGACAGAGAGGCAGACAGAGAGGTAATAGAGAGAGAGATAGATGATACATATATAGATAATAGATGATTGATGGATAGATAGACAGACAGACAATTGATAGAGAGATAGATAAGTGATACATAAATATAGATGATAGATAATTTGTAGATAGACACAAAATAGATTAATAGATAGAAATGTGCAGAAAGTTATGAACAAGACAGAAAGTGAGAGACTCAAAATTAAAGAAAAAGGAAGATCAAGTCAACCAATCCAAGGAGGGTCAGAGAGAATAAAACAATCCAAAAAGGGAAAACATACCTCAGGGTGGGGAATTGAGGTCATAGACCTAGAGAGACAGAAAAGGTAGAAGGAGGAAACAGATATGAAGAGAGATGGGGTGGAGGGTGAGAGAGAGAGAGAGAGCATTAGGTCATAGAGCAGGGGAGTGAGTTCTCAGCTCAGGTATGAGGGGAGCTATGACAAGGAAGAACCTCCCTGAGGAAACTGCCTCTTCTCCTTCCAGGTCCATATGAGAAACCTTCTCTCTCAGCCCAGCCGGGCCCCAAGGTTCAGGCAGGAGAGAGCGTGACCTTGTCCTGTAGCTCCCGGAGCTCCTATGACATGTACCATCTATCCAGGGAGGGGGGAGCCCATGAACGTAGGCTCCCTGCAGTGCGCAAGGTCAACAGAACATTCCAGGCAGATTTCCCTCTGGGCCCTGCCACCCACGGAGGGACCTACAGATGCTTTGGCTCTTTCCGTCACTCTCCCTACGAGTTGTCAGACCCGAGTGACCCACTGCTTGTTTCTGTCACAGGTGAGAAAAGCCCATATCTCTCTCATGTCCTATGATCCTAAATCCTTAGCTAAGGAGCTTCCTGCTGATGATGGAGAAAAGCATGGACAGATGCAGAGAGAAGACACAGCAGGTGTGAGGGCGGAGTCAGGGCGCAGGATGGCAGACAGGGCACCTCCAAACCCTCCTTCATGGCCTGCATGGAGGCCTCCGATCAGGGCTCCAGGCACCCAGGCAGATGGAGAAAGCGGTCAGGACAGACCCAGAGAAGGGGAGACTGGGCTTAGTTTCGGGAGATCAGAGGTTCCCTCAGCCCCTCAATCTTATCCATTTCCCAGAAGCCCATCATGGCCTCTCACCCACACAGAGAGATGTCATCACCAGCAACCCCTACACCCTTTTCTTTTCATTTTCAAAAATATTTATTGAGGTTAAATGTAACTATATAATTTACCACCTTTACCATTTTTAAAAGTAAAATCTAGTGGTCATAAATACCTTTATATGCTGGGTGTGGTGGTTCACGGTTGTAATCTCGGCGCTTTGAGAGGCCAAGGAAGGTGGATCATTTAAGATCAGGAACTCGAGATCACCCTGGCCAACATGTGGGAAATTCATCTTTACTAAACAGACAAGAAAAATTAGCCGAGCATGCCGGCATGCACCTGTAGTCCTAGCTACTTGGGAGGCTGAGGCAGGAGAAGCACTTAAAGCCAGGAGGCAGAGGTTGCACTGAGCCGAGATCATGCCACTGCACTGCAGCCTGGGAGACAGAGAGAGACTCTGTTTCTAAATAAATAAATACATCTATATTCTTTTTTTTGTTACCCTCCACCCTTCCCTTCCTGGCCTCTGGTGTCCACCATTGTATTCTCCACCTTCATGAGATCCACCTTTTATCTCCTGCATGTGGTGAGAAATGGGAATCTTTGTAATGACCTCCAGTTCCATCCATGTGGCTGCAAATGACAGGATGTTATTGTTTCTATGGATGAGTAGTCTCCACCGTGTGTGTGTACTACAGTTCTCTATCCATTCACCCACTGATAGGCAGGTAGGTTGACTCCACATCTTGGCTACTGTGAACAGTGCTGGAACAGTCATATGAGTGCAGATATCACTTCGATACACTGATGTCCTTTCCTTTGGATATAAACCCAGTAGTGAAATTGCTGGACACTATGAAAGTTCTCTTTTTTTTTTTTCCTTTTTTGAGAAAGAGTTTCCCTCCTTAGTCCAAGCTGGAGTCTAAGTGGTGAGATCTTGGCTCATTGCAACCTGTGCCTCCTAGGTTCAAATGATTGTCCTGACTCAGCCTCCCTAGTAGCTGTGATTACAGGTGCACGCCACCATGCCTGGCTAATTTTTGTACTTTTTTAGCACAGACGGGATATCCCAATTTTGGGCAGGCTGCTCTCAAACTCCTGACCTCAAGTGAGGTGCCTGCCTCGGTTTCCCAAAGTGCTGAAGTTACAGGCATAAGCCACTATGCCCAGCCTCCTTTTAGTTTTTTAAAGAATTTCCATACTTTTCTCCATAATAGTTGTACTAATTTACATTCCTACCAACAGGGTACCAGGGTTCTCCTTTCTCTACCATCTTGCCAGCATTTGTTTTGCCTGTCTTGCAGTAAAAGCCATTTTACTTTACTTTATTTTATTTATTTATTTATGTTGAGATGGAGTTTCACTCATAGTCGCCCAGGCTGGAGTGCAAGGGTGTGATCTCAGCTCACTGCAACCTCCGCCTCCCGCGTTCAACTGATTCTCCTGCCTCAGCCTCCAAAGTAGCTGGGATTACAGGCATGTGCCACCACGCCTAGCTAATTTTTGTATGTTTAGTAGAGAGGGAGTTTCTCCATGTTGGTCAGGCTGGTCTCCCGACCTCAGGTGATCCGCCCACCTCCGCCTCCTGAAGTGCCGGAATTACAGGCGTGAGCCACCGGCCTAAAAGGCATTTTAATGGGATGAGATGAAAACTCATCGCGATTGTAATTTACATTTCTCTGATGATGAGTGATGCCGAGTACTTTTTCATATACGTGATCGCCATTTCTATGTTTTGTTTGTGGAGAAATGTCTCCTCAT
The DNA here is from genome assembly GCF_000001405.40 of Homo sapiens. Taxonomy (NCBI): domain Eukaryota; kingdom Metazoa; phylum Chordata; class Mammalia; order Primates; family Hominidae; genus Homo; species Homo sapiens. The sequence continues at coordinate 125,562 of NW_016107302.1, forward strand.
GTCTTTTGCTCTTTTTTTGAATTAAATTGTTTTATTGAGTTGTTTGAGCTTCTTATATTTCCAGTTATTAATCCCGTCTCAGATGAATAGTTTGCAAATATTTGCTCCTATTTTGTCGGTTGTCTCTTCACTTTCTTGGTTTATCTTTTGTGGTGCAGAAGTTGCTTGGTTTGATGTAATCCTAATGGTCTATTTTTTGCTTTGATTACTTGTGTTTTGAAGGTTTTAAACAAAATGTCTTTCGTCAGACAAATGTCTTCCCCATTATTTTCTTCTACATGTTTCATAGGTTCAGGCCTTAGACTCATGTTTTTAATCCATTTTCATTTGATTTTTGTGTAAGGTGACAGGTATAGATGCAGTTTTATTCCTCTGCATGTAGATATCCAGTTTTCCCCACACCATTTATTGAAAAGACTGTCCTTTCCTGATTGTAAGTTCTCGGCACCTTTGTCAAAGTCCATTAAATGGGCTGGGTATGGTGGCTCACACCTGCAATTCCAGCACTTTGGGAGGCCGAGGCGGATGGATCACCTGAAGCCAGGAGTTCAAGACCAGGCTGGCCAACAGAGTGAAACCTCGTCTCTACTAAAAATACAAAAATTAGCTGAGCATGGTGACCAGTGCCTGTAATACCACTACTCGGGTGTTTGAGGCAAGAGAATTGCTTGAATCCAGGAAGTGGAGGTTGCATTGAGCTGAGATTGCACCTCTGCACTCCAGCCTGCATGACAGAGCAAGATTCTATCACACACACACACAAAAAAAGCCATTGGATGTAAATGCATGGATTATATCTGTGTTCTCCATTCTGTTCCATTTTTTATGTGCCTTTCTTTATGCCAATGTCATGCTGTTTTGCTTACTACAGCTCTGTAACATATTTCTAAGTCAGGTAGTGTGATGCTCCTGTTTTCTCTTTATACCTTCAAGTCTCAAGACAGTGGGCATCGCACACAAAAATTATGGAGAAGAGGATCCCAAGACTCCCAGGGTCCAACATTAGATAACAGAGTGTTGGCCATGAACCAACCTCAAAGATTTCCATTGAGTAGAGGACAAGCACCCTCATTTCCTCACATCTCTCCTGTCCCGTGTTCTAGGAAACCCTTCAAGTAGTTGGCCTTCACCCACAGAACCAAGCTCCAAATCTGGTGAGTAAAGGACCCCTCTTATCTCTGCTTTTGGAAACCTGGGGAGGTGGAAGCCTTGGATGCAAGTGTTGGCTCAAACCTCCCAGCTCTGTGAATGAGGGCCTGTCTTCCACCATCTCTGAACTCCAGACACTCCAACAGTGAAAGGGATCTAGGGCCACCAAAGGGCTCAGCGAAGTCTCTTAACCTTTAATGTCCTGCAGGTGAGACCTCCTACAAGCTAGAAGAATGATTGCCAATCTGACATCCTTCTCAGGAAACATGCAGTGTTTTTTCTTCCTGCATTCCTAACTGGAGGATAAATTCCTGGGGACTTGAGAGAGGGAAGGGAAGGGAACATCTGATGAGGGCGAGGTGTTTTAGAGAAGTTCCACTTGCCAAGGAATGAATTACTGTTGGTCATGAAGCAACCCTGGCTGACTCAGCAGAGCAAGAGCCTTGCCGTAATAGAGAACAGAGCTCATGCACGCACACTTCGACTCACTGACTCATTCAGCCACAGCCCCATGCTCAGGCTGTGCAGTTGGAATCCTTTCCTATTGTTGCCATAACAAATTTCCACAAGATTCGTGGGTGAAAACAAAGCGGCTTTTTAATTATCTTACAGTGCTGTAGCTCAAAGTATGAAGTGCATCTCACTGGGCTAAAAACAAGGTGACAGCAAGGCTGCCTTCCCTTGCCTGAGGATTCCAGGCAAGAATCTGCTTCTCACTTGTCCCATCTTATAAAGGCTCCCAGTTCCTTGGCTCCTGGTCCCCTTCCTCCTTCCTCAAAGCCCACAAAGGCTGGTCACATCTCACATGGCATCACTCAGACCCTTCTTCCTTACCACACCTCTTTCTCTGAATGCTGCTCTCCCTTCTTCCTTATCTTTTGAAAACTTGGGGATTCTATTGGGTTCACCAAGATGAAAATCCATCATAATCTCCCGGAAATCATTCAGGATACCCTTGTTTTAAGTTCAGCTGACTAGCAACCGTAATTCCATCTGCAATCTTCATTCCTTCTTTCCATGTAAAATAACATATTCACAAGCTATGGAGGCCAGGACAGGGACATTTTGGGGTGGGACAGCATTCTCCTGCCTTCCACGAACGGTGAACAAGATGCATTTGGCCTCTGCTCTTGGGACACTGATATTGCAGATGGTTAAATGGGAGGGCAGAAAATGAATGCACAAGTGGACCAATAAATGAATGATCCATTGGGAAGCATCTGTGTATGAAATCTATTTGTTTGTTCGTTCATTTATTTATTGAGACAGAGTCTCCCTCTGTCTTCCAGGCTACAGTGCAGTGTCACGATCTTGGCTCACTGCAACCTGCGTCTCCTGGATCCAAGTGATTCTCCTGCCTCCGCCTCTCGAGTAGCTGGGATTACAGGCAACTGCCACCATGCCCGGCTAATTCTTTTTGTATATTTTTTGTAGAGAGGATGTTTCACCATATTGGCCAAGCTTGTCTGAAACTCCCAACCTCAAGTGATCCGACCATCTCAGCAACCCAAAGTACTGGGATTACAGGCGTGAGCCACTTTGCCCAGCCAGAATTCAAAATAAATAATAGATAATGCTGAGTGTATAATTTTGGGTGACAGAGAAGGTCTCACTAATCAGATATTTGTGACATTAATGAAAAACACGGATTGAACCCCTGAAAGATTGGCGGAAGGATTTTCCACACAGCTGTCAGCTGTGAAGGCACAAAGGTGAAAACAATCTGATGTTGAAGGAAGAGGCTCTGACTCAAATGCTGGGAATGAAGTGGGGAGAATGACAAGACGACTGTGGAGAGACGGAGAGCACACTGGGTACACAGGAAACTAAGGAGCAACAAGGAGTGTGTGTTTGACACTCACAGCCCTTGGATTCACCTCGGGGTAACCAGGAATCCCTACATGATTAATAGTGACTGACATGAAAATAAGGGAGGCCCAGGTGCGTAACTGGAATCTAGGAGACCGTGGAAAAGGCAATTCCCGCCCCACTGGTGAAATGTGGTGCTGATTTAGACCCTAAGTGGATGAAGCAGATGGATATAAGCTATGCTTGGGAGGTAGAATCATTTGCAGGGAGGGCTTGCTGGGTTTGAGTTTCCTAGTTGTTTAATCCTTGCTAAATTAATTTCTTTCTGAGATTTATTCCTCCTACACATAAATCAATACCTGGCAAAGGAGTGACAGATATATGAGGGGTGGTGGAAATGAAGGGACCTATTATAGCATAGTATACAAGTCTGTGAACGGTGGCTCACTCCTGTAACCCAGCACTGCAGGAGGCTAAGGCCAGTGGATTCCAAGAAGTCAGGAGTTCGAGACCAGCCTGGCCAACATGGTGAAACCCTATCTCTACATGGTGAAACCCTATCTCTCCTAAAAATACAAAAATTAGCCGAGCATGGTGGTGCATCCCTGTAATCCCAGCTCCTGCTCTGGAGGATGAAGCAGGAGAATGACTTCAACCCAGGAGATGGAGGTTGCAGTGAGTGGAGATCGCATCACTGCACTCCAGCCTGGGTGACACAAGGAGACTCCATCTCAAAAAATAAAAATAAGAAATGCATAAATATAATAAAACACACACGAATGACAAAGGCACCTGAATTCCCATCATCATTTTTCTATTTCTCTATAATTACTTCTTTGATCCTTTATCTTATCCATTAGGCAATCAGCCTAAAACCTCTTCCGTATTTGGCTTTCTGTGAGCATGAGATCATATAGAAAATGTGAAAGCCCGCTGAATCCTCCAGCACAAATCCTGGAATAGAGAAAGTGCTCTCGTCATCACAAAAAAAACTTGCCCCCTCACCCAAATCCCCCATCTCACCCCTACTTCCAATCACCTGTGGAGATACAGATAGATCATGGGGAGGTAAATGCTAATACTCCTTGGAGTGAGTCCAGATCTTGGAATCAGAGATCAGCGACAGCACTAGCTCCTGCTCCCCTTTCCTACTAATTCACAGGAGGACAGGTGGTATTGAAGCAATAGATAGTCGAGGGGGTGGTCCTTCCCCCAGCCTCTCAGGTAGAACAGCAGCCTAACATGTGTCTCCCGAGATCACAAAGAGTAGCACATTTCACACGGGCTTCAACACTATTTTCTGGCTGTTTGACATAAGAGAATTCTACTTCGCTTTTTTTATATTGATTTCACTTTTGTTTCCTTTTCTTGGAGAATGCAAGTTGTTTAACTCAAGAATGCCGTGGATGTAGAAATCCTAAAGCACATTCGCTGTGTATCAATCCCAGTCCAGTCTTCCCAGAGAAGACTCTAAACACCTCCTGGACTGCACCTGGGCCTATGCCAATTCCTATCACTCACCGTCACTCCAGGGAGACAGAACACACAGAGAATACGTTACATAGGCAGGTTCATTACTAACAGATAAGCAGCGAGTGACAACAGAAGCCTACATTTCAATGTGAGCCAGTTCCCCAAGGCTCAGAAAAGCTGCTCGAGACATGTGGAGTCACCCCATTTGCAGTGTAGCTGGGGGAAGCCAGAAAGCAGCCCAGCCTGGGTTTTGTACCCTGGAGCCACAGGAAGCACTCAGCTAAAGCACTGCATGACGTCCTCCTCCAGGAAGAACAGGAAGACAGCCCAGGCTGTTCTGGGACGATCCTCCTGATCTCAGGACTTTGCTGTCTTAGTCCATTTTTGTTGCTCTAAAGGAACACTTGAGCCTGGGTAACTTCTAAAGAAGAGATTGGTTTGCCTCACCATTCTGCAGGCTGTACTGGAAGCATGGCACCAGCATCTATTTCTTATGATGGCCTCAGGCCGCTCCCACTCTGGCAGAAGGGAAGGAGGGTCTGTCTGTGCAGAGACCACAGAGATCACACGGCAAGAGAGGGAGCAAGGGGGAGGGGGAGCAATGGAGCTTCCAAGCTCTTTTTAACAACCAGCTCTCCAGGAACTAATAGAGAGGGAACTTGCTAACCCCGTCTCCTTGGGACAGCATTGATCTGTTCATGATGGATCCACCTCCATGACCCAAACACCTCCCAAGAGGCCCAACCTCCCACACTGGGGGTTAAATTTCAATGTGAGGTTTGAAGGGGTCAAACATCTCAACTAAAGTAGTTGTATCCTCAGCACGTTCCATGGTTACTATGAGAGCTATAACTGAGAAAGCAGGAGGAAGCTAGGTCTCCCGCCATCTGGGTGCTTGTCCGAAAGAGATGCTGTAAGTGGTTACCTGTCAATCAAGAAATGCAAGACAATTCATATAGAGAAACTGCTATGATTAGCTTCTTACTGGTGTCTCCTCTTCTTCCAGGTAACCCCAGACACCTGCACATTCTGATTGGGACCTCAGTGGTCATCATCCTCTTCATCCTCCTCCTCTTCTTTCTCCTTCATCTCTGGTGCTCCAACAAAAAAAGTAAGTCTCACGCGGCACAGGCCAGAGAGCTCAGGGCCATGTGGGGAAGCAGGATGGGAGCACACAGCTGTGTGTTCCTCACTGGCAGGATGGTCCCTGGCCCAAGACAGGAGCCACAGAGGCAGGACTTTCTAGAGAGAGCACCAGACTCCCTGCCCCTGCCTTCAGCTCACAGACCGTTGCCTGATTCTGAACTGTATCCTCATGTCCCCTGCAGCCACTCACATCCAGGAGAAGGTTCCATGACAGGCAGAAAGTGGGAGACAGAATCAATGGGATGGGAACTCAGAGCTATTCATGGGATGGGTCCTTGAGCTCAGAGAGATAGAATGTCTGAGTCTGCTGTTGGCAACTGAGGGACCTCAGGCACCTATGGCCTCCCCCTGTTTGTTGGTATCTGCTTATGAAATGAGGACCCAGAAGTGCCCTCCGAGCTCTTTTGTTGACTTCCGTCTCCTACAGATGCTGCTGTAATGGACCAAGAGCCTGCAGGGAACAGAACAGCCAACAGCGAGGTAGGTGCTCCTCGGCCCAGCCTCATGGCTAGTGTTATTCCCAAACAGTCCTGGAAAACGTGAGCACCCTCCCTCACTCAGCATTTCCCTCCCTCACTCAGCATTTCCCTCTCTCCAGGACTCTGATGAACAAGACCCTGAGGAGGTGACATACGCACAGTTGGATCACTGCGTTTTCACACAGAGAAAAATCACTCGCCCTTCTCAGAGGCCCAAGACACCCCCTACAGATACCATCTTGTACACGGAACTTCCAAATGCTAAGCCCAGATCCAAAGTTGTCTCCTGCCCATGAGCACCACAGTCAGGCCTTGAGGGCGTCTTCTAGGGAGACAACAGCCCTGTCTCAAAACCGAGTTGCCAGCTCCCATGTACCAGCAGCTGGAATCTGAAGGCGTGAGTCTTCATCTTAGGGCATCGCTCCTCCTCACGCCACAAATCTGGTGCCTCTCTCTTGCTTACAAATGTCTAGGTCCCCACTGCCTGCTGGAAAGAAAACACACTCCTTTGCTTAGCCCACAGTTCTCCATTTCACTTGACCCCTGCCCACCTCTCCAACCTAACTGGCTTACTTCCTAGTCTACTTGAGGCTGCGATCACACTGAGGAACTCACAATTCCAAACATACAAGAGGCTCCCTCTTGACGTGGCACTTACCCACGTGCTGTTCCACCTTCCCTCATGCTGTTTCACCTTTCTTCGGACTATTTTCCAGCCTTCTGTCAGCAGTGAAACTTATAAAATTTTTTGTGATTTCAATGTAGCTGTCTCCTCTTCAAATAAACATGTCTGCCCTCATTGCTTCAGGTAATGTGACACTGTATTCGCTGAAAGAAACCGCTGTTATCATTACCATGTCCACATAACCCCATCTGTTCTCCGCTGGGTTCTCACCCCTGGACTCTGAGCTTCTGGAAGCAGGGTGGAGCCTCATTTGTCTCTGGGACTCCAATTTCCATCCAAAGATGCAGCACATAGGAGGTTCCAAGGATCGTGAATCACATGAACAAGTGATATTCTTACTCTCTGCAACCTGGAAAGCTGGCAGAGTCATTCCACGATGAAACATTTGTAGAGTCATAAGCCTTGCTAGTCTCATCTCCACGGGGACACATATCAACACATCATATTTCATACTATAAATATACAGTCGCTCCTCCATATCTGTGGGGTTTACAGGTGTTTATTGAACCAAGTGTAAATCAAAAATATTCAGAGAAAATGTCCACAAAGTTTCAAAATGCAAAACTATGTTGAATGGACACAAATGAGGCAGTGTGTAGGCTGTATCAGGAATTATAAGTAATCAAGAGATGATTTCATGTATACAGGAGGATGTGCATGGGTTATATCCAAATGCTGTGTCATTTTATGTAAGAGGCTTGAGCATCTGCAGATTTTGGTACCTGAGTGGAGATCCTGAAACCAATCACCCACGAATAGTAAAGGATGACCGTATATGACTTTTATTTCTCAATTTTAAATATAAATCATAAAAAATGTACAATAACTAGATAAAAAGTAAGAAGTGTTTTTATAGTGTGAGAATAAGTTTAGATTTATTTTTTCCTACGTGTAACCCTTTGGTTTAATATTATTTATTGAGAAGACATTCTATGCCACCTTAAACCACACGGCAGCCTTTGTCAACTCTAAAGGGACTGTGTGTACACGGATGTATTTTAGACACTGTTTCTGCTAAGGGGCTCTCTGTGTCCACACTCTTGAGGATGCTGCACTTCATGTAGCCTTATAAAACCCTTTAAATTTAGTAGCCAGAGCCCTCTAATTTGTTATTATAGGCTACTTGCTATTTTTTTTTCTTGAGGCGGAGTCTTGCTCTGTCGCCCAGGCTGGACTGCAGTGACACAATCTCAGCTCACTGCAACTTCCGCCTCCCAGGTTCAGGCGATTCTCGTGCCTCAGTCTCTTGAGTAGCTGGCGTTTCAGGTGCCTGCCACCAGGCATGGCTAATTTTTGAATTTTTAGCAGAGACGCGGTTTCACTGTGTTGGCCAGGCTGCTCTCAATCTCCTCATCTCAGTTGATCCGCCCACCTCGGCTTCCCGACCTGCTGGGGGAAACTTGATTTTCTATAGCATTATGTTACTGGATATTTCTGTAAAATTTAAAATGAGGGAGGCAGAGAGACAGAGAGAGAGCAAACTCCAAAGTTGGGACTCTGGAATCTTGAGTCATGAGACAAATTATAGATAAAACTACAAAAATCCAGAATTTACATGTGTGGTTTTTGCTGATAAAGTACAATTCTAAGATTGTAAATAATTGCATAATCCTTCCCTGGGAATTTAAATCATTTGAACTGGTTCTGCTGTAATACTAGAAATACAAGCATGAACAATTCTAATGGTTTATTAGTCACAATGACTCTGAAAACACTAATAATACCTATTAGATATTTTGCATATTACACAGGAAGAAGAGTTCGAATCTCAGATAAAAACAATAAAAATTCATGAAAAGTCTTTCATGTTAGCACAGATTTTAGGCATCTCATGTTTGGGAGGTTGGATCTAAGACGTGTTTTGAGTTGGTCATAGTGAAGGACGCGAGGTGTCAATTCTAGTGAGAGCAATTTCCAGGAAGCCATGTTCCGCTCTTGAGCGAGCACCCACTGGGCCTCATGCAAGGTAGAAAAAGCCTGCGTACGTCACCCTCCCATGATGTGGTCAACATGTAAACTGCATGGGCAGGGCGCCAAATAACATCCTGTGCGCTGCTGAGCTGAGCTGGGGCGCGGCCGCCTGTCTGCACCGGCAGCACCATGTCGCTCATGGTCATCATCATGGCGTGTGTTGGTGAGTCCTGGAAGGGAATAGAGGGAGGGAGCGTGGGGATGGAGATCTGGGCCCAGAGGTGGAGATATGGGCCTGGAGGTGGAGTTATGGGCCTGGAGTGGAGATCTGGGCCTGGAGTGGAGATCTGGGCCTAGAGATGGAGTGATGGGCCTAGAAGTGGAGATCTGCGCCTGGAGTGGAGATCTGGGCCTGGAGTGAAGATCTGGGCCTGGAGTGGAGATATGGGCCTGGAGTGGGGATAGGAACCTGGAGTGGAGAGAGGAACCTGGAGGAGAGATAGGAACCTGGAGGGGAGGTAGGAGCCTAGGGTGGAGATATGGGACTGGAGTGGAGATATGGGACTGGAGTGGAGATATGGGCCTGGAGTGGAGTTATGGGCCTGGAGTGAAGTTATGGGCCTGGAGGTGGAGATATGGGCCTGGAGTGGAGATATGAGCCTGGAGTGGAGATATGGTCCTGGAGTGGAGATATGGGCCTGGAGTGGAGATATGGGTCTGCAGTGGAGTTATGGGCCTGGAGTGAAGTTATGGGCCTGGAGGTGGAGATATGGGCCTGGAGTGGAGATATGGGACTAGAGTGGAGATAGGGGCCTGGAGGTGGAGATCTGGGCCTGGAGTGGAGATCTGGGCCTGGAGTGGAGATCTGGGCCTGGAGTGGAGATATGGGCCTGGAGTGGAGATATGGGTCTGCAGTGGAGATATGGGCCTGGAGGTGGAGATATGGGCCTGGAGTGGAGTTATGGGCCTGGAGTGAAGTTATGGGCCTGGAGGTGGAGATATGGGCCTGGAGTGGAGATATGGGACTAGAGTGGAGATAGGGGCCTGGAGGTGGAGATCTGGGCCTGGAGTGGAGATATGGCCCTGGAGTGGAGATATGGGCCTGGAGTGGAGATATGAGCCTGGAGTGGAGATATGGCCCTGGAGTGGAGATATGGGCCTGGAGGTGGAGATATGGGCCTGGAGTGGAGTTATGGGCCTGGAGTGAAGTTATGGGCCTGGAGGTGGAGATATGGGCCTGGAGTGGAGATATGGGACTAGAGTGGAGATACGGGCCTGGAGGTGGAGATCTGGGCCTGGAGTGGAGATATGGCCCTGGAGTGGAGATATGGGCCTGGAGTGGAGATATGAGCCTGGAGTGGAGATATGGCCCTGGAGTGGAGATATGGGCCTGGAGTGGAGATATGAGCCTGGAGTGGAGATATGGCCCTGGAGTGGAGATATGGGCCTGGAGTGGAGATATGGGCCTGGAGTGGAGATATGGGTCTGGAGTGGAGATATGGGCCTGGAGGTGGAGATATGGGCCTGGAGTGGAGATATGGGCCTGGAGGTGGTGATATGGGCCTGGAGTGTAGATATGGGCCGAGTGGAGATATGGTTCTGGAGTGGAGATATGGGCCTGGAGTGGAGATATGGGACTGGAGTGGAGATATAGGCATGGGGTGGAGACATGGGCCGGGAGTGGAGATATGGGACTGGAGTGGAGATACGGGCATGGGGTGGAGATATGTGCCTGGAGGTGGAGATATGGGCGTGGGTTGGAGATATGGGCCTGGAGTGGAGATATGGGCATGGGGTGGAGATATGGGTCTGGAGTGGAGACATGGGCATGGGGTGGAGATATGGGCCTGGTGTGTAGATATGGGCCTGGAGTGGAGATATGGCCCTGGAGTGGAGATATGGGCCTGGAGTGGAGATCTGGGCCTACGGTGAAGATATGGGCCTAGGATGGGGATATGGGCCTGGAATGGAGATATGGGCCTGGGTGTGGAGATATGGGACTGGAGTGGAGATATGGGCCTGATGTGGAGATATGGGCTTGGAGTGGAGATATGATCCTGGAGTGTAGTTATGGGCCTGGAGGTGGAGATCTGGGCCTGGGGTGGAGATATGGGCCTGGAGTGGAGATATGGGACTGGAGAGGAGATATGGGCCTGGAGTGGAGATATGGGCCTGGATTGGAGATATGGGCCTAGGGTGGAGATCTGAGCCTGGATTGGAGATGTGGGCCCGGATTGGCTATATGGGTCTAGGGTGGAAATATCGGCCTGGAGTGGAGATATGGGCCTGGAGTGGAGATATGGGCTTGGGGTGGGGATATGGGCCTGGAGGCTGGGTCTCTGCACAGCCGAGAGCACTGTTCTTGGGTGCAGGTAGGCACTGATGGTGAGTTTCCCTTCGGCCCAGGAAGGGGCTGGCTATCAAGACTCACAGCCCAGTGGGGGCAGCAAGGAAGGCCTTGTTTGCCTGCAAATGGATCTTCCATCATGATCTTTCTTTCCAGGGTTCTTCTTGCTGCAGGGGGCCTGGCCACAGGAGGGTAAGTCCTTCTCCAAACCTTAGGGTGTCATCTCCCCACATAAGAGGATTTTCCTGAAACGGGAGGGAAGTCCTGTCAGGGAGTCTCTTATAAACTAGGAAGAGGGGACCCTGGGGTGCTCGGCCCACAGTTCCGACCTTGCCTCCCTGGCCTCTCAACCCCTTGGCAGAGTCAAGTTGTGTGGGGACCAGGGTTGGACTAGGGTGTTCAAAGCTGGGTTGTGTGGTGGGGAAGTGGTAGGAACAGCAGATCCTCTGAGGACAAAGGTGTTACTCACACACTTCAGCGTTTCCATGATGGTAGGGGCTGCAGTGTGGCTGCTGTCATTCTACCAGAAGAGGTGGGAAACCACAGCCATGGCCCTGACATTCCAAATCCTCTGATGGGGGCTAAGTTTTTTATTTTCATTCAGGCAACTGCTGATATTCCATTCTCAAAGGACATGCCCTCCACTTCATGTCTACCCTGTGTTGTTTTATGTGAGTAATCTTACAGTATTAAAATCTAGTAGGAGTCTCTTACTCAGCACTTGCTCAAAGTTCTCAGCTGACACTTTTGTTGTACGGAGACACCTTGTCTTTGTGGGATGGGTCCTTCCTTTAGCCCTAGGCACCAAGGTGTGATAGCAGCCATAGAAATGTGGAAAGTGGGGAGAATCTTCTGAGCACAGGGAGGGAGGCACAGCTCCACATCCTCCTCTCTAAGGCGGCGCCTCCTTCACCCCAAGGTGGTCAGGACAAGCCCTTGCTTTCTACCTGGCCCAGCCTTGTGGTGCCTCCAGAACATGTGACTCTTCAGTGTCACTCTAATCTTGGGTTTAACAACTTCAGTCTGTACAAGGATGATGGGGTGCCTGTCCCTGAGCTGTACAACAGAATATTCTGGAAAAGCCTTTTCATGGGCCCTGTGACCCCGTCACATGCAGGGACCTATAGATGCCGGGGTTCACACACACACTCCCCCAGTGGGTGGTCGGCACCCAGCAACCCCCTGGTGATTATGGTCACAGGTCAGAGGGCTCCTGTCTGGGATTCTCCTTGTCCCACCTCCTGAATCCCAGAGCTTCTGGTAGGCATGTCCTTGAGGGTCCCATCACGCAGGCCCTAACTGTATTTGGGGTAAAGGGGGATTGAATACAGGGAAATGGGTGCTGTGGTGGGAAGAATAAGTGTCCCCAATGATGACTGCATTCTAATCCCTGGAGTCTGTGACTATTTATGTTATAGGGGAAGGGACTGAAGGGGAAGATGGAGCTCAGGTTGTTGATGAGTTGACCTTGAGATGGGGAGACAGCCTGGACTGTCCCGGTGGGCTCAGTATAATCACAAGGGTCCACATGAAAGGAGGAGGAAGAGGAGAGTGGGGATTAGAGCAGCGTAGTGGGAGACTCCATCAGCTTTGAAGGTGGATGAAGGCCATAAGCCATGAATGCAGGTGGCCTATAGAGGCTGGGAAAGTCAAGTAACTGATTCTCCTGAGTCTCCAGAGGGAACACAGCCCTGCAGATGCCTTGATTTTAGCCCTCGAAAAACAGCGTCCGCTTTCTGTCTCCAGAATCGGAGGGGGTCAGTGTGCTCTCTCCTGCTGCCATGCTTCTGATAATTTTCTACAGCAGCAACAGGAAACCAACACTGGAACCCAGGTCAAGGACAAGTTAAGAAAAGACACAAGGATAGCCAGGCATGGTGGCAGGTGCATGTAATCCTAGCGACTCGGGAGGCTGAGAGCAGGAGAATCGCTTGAACCCAGGAGACAGAGGTTGCAGTGAGCGTAGACCACACCACTTCACTCCAGCCTGGGCGAAGGAGTGAGACTCTGTCTCCAAAATTAATTAATTAATTAAAGAAACCAAACAAAGAGAAGGTTGGCTACACCGAGATCAGCAAGGGTGGGATGATGATGCTACCACCAGGCTCCATCCACATAGGGAGGGGTTGATACTCCTCAAATCAGCACGAGGAGCCAGCCTATGGAAACTGGCACCATGGAGAAGGCACAGACATGGCAAGAGTGGCTCCCAGTCCCCACCAGGAACAGGGTGTGTGGACACTGGTGCCTGCCTTACTGATCAGTTCATACCTCCTGCCAAGGATTCCAATTCGTCCAAAAGAGATTGAACCAGGCTGCTAAGAGCCGGGACGTGCAGCCTATCCTGCTTCCTCTTCCACTCCCACATAGACAGTAAGAAAGACATTAGTGTGAAATAGATACAACAGCCCAAGAGATGAGGCTGAGCCCAGTGGGAAGGGAATCACAGCTACTAGAGACAGAGGGACAGAGAAGAGGGAGGGAGACAGATGGAAGGACCTGCACCAGGAGTTATGGGCACAGAAAAGAACATGAAGACACAGAGAGGAAGCAGAGAGACAGACACCAGCGAAGGGAAGGCTCACTCATTCCAGGTGCCATGGATGGGATGATAAAGAGAGACACCTTCTAAACTCACAACCTCTCTTCCTAGAAGTCCACAGAAAACCTTCCTTCCTGGCCCTCCCAGGTCACCTGGTGAAATCAGAAGAGACAGTCATCCTGCAATGTTGGTCGGATGTCATGTTTGAGCACTTCCTTCTGCACAGAGAGGGGAAGTTTAACAACACTTTGCACCTCATTGGAGAGCACCATGATGGGGTTTCCAAGGCCAACTTCTCCATTGGTCCCATGATGCCTGTCCTTGCAGGAACCTACAGATGCTACGGTTCTGTTACTCACTCCCCCTATCAGTTGTCAGCTCCCAGTGACCCTCTGGACATGGTGATCATAGGTGAGAGTGTCCAGACATTCTTCTCATTGTCATTGGGATGCAGAGTGAATGATCCAGGACTTGGAGACCCAGGTGGTTGTAAGGAAGATGAGCTTGGTATTCTTATGGAGAGAGACTGACTTGGTGAGGTCTGTGCCAACAGAGACAGAGAAACAAGAGACACAAGTACAGACCAGGTGTCATAACAGAGGACAAACACAGGGGCCATACAGGGAGTTAGAAAAGACAGAAAGAGTTAAAGGAGACAGACAGACATGTCCCAGACAGAGGTGTCCTTCCATGCTGACTTTGCTCAGAGACCTGGCACAGGTTAGAAGTTTCATTTCTGTTTTACCTCCACAAAGTGTTCTCTACCAGGAGAACCCAAGGACACCCATATTTCTGACCTGAGTTGGGCCCTGTGGCCTCAGGCCTTGTGGCACCTACAGATGCCATGCTTATTCTGACACCTCTGACTTCCATGCAATGGAGAATAATCGTCCCAAAATATCATGGCCCCAGAACACCAACCCCTGTATGCTGTGTGAACTTGTGGTCTCCAGACTGGATTCTGAGGCTCACATTCCAAATAACCCCACATATCACATATGAGAGGATCACTGAGAAGCACAGAGAGAAATCAGGGACACCAAAAAGCAAAGACATAAACACACAGAGAAAGAGCCAGAGGAAGGAGATTGAGAGACTCACAGACACATAAAGAGAGAGAAGAGGGCAGAGAAGTGGAGAGAATGATGGAAGAGAGCAGAGAAAACCACTAAAATTAGAGTCCTGAGGGCGAGGCACAAGGGCATAGAAAGATGGAGATGTGGGGATGAATTGCAGAGATTCCAAAGAGAACTAGAGAGACCGAGAGGCAGAGCAAGACAGATGATAGATGGATAGATACAGATAGATGATGGATAGATATAGATAGATGATATATAGGTAGATGATAGATAATAGGTTATAGATACATAGATGATGATTGATTGATTCATTAATAGATGATACATAGAGATGATGATGATGAAGGTAGATGGATAGATAATACATAGAGATAGAGAGGAAGACAAAGAGAGAAATAATAGAGAGAGAGAGATGATACATATATATAGATAATAGATGATTGACGGATAGACAATTGATAGATAAATAGATGATATATAGATATAGATGACAGGTAGAGAATTTGTAGATAGGCACCGAATAGATAAATAGATGGATTGATAGATAATAGATAGAAATATGCAGAAAGTTATGAACGGGACACAAACTGAGAAACTCAGAGTTAAAAAAAGTAACATCAAGTCAACCAATCCAAGGAGAGCCAGAGAGAATAAAACAATCCAAAAACGGAAAACATAACTAGAGGTAGGGAAGTGAGGTCAGAGACCTACAGAGACAGAGAAGGTGGAAGGAGGAAATAGACATGAAGAGAGATGGGGTGGAGGGTGAGACAGAGAAAGAGAGCATTAGGCCATAGAGCAGGGGAGTGAGTTCTCAGGTCAGGTGTGAGGGGAGCTGTGACAAGGAAGATCCCCCCTGAGGAAACTGCCCCTTCTCCTTCCAGGTCTATATGAGAAACCTTCTCTCTCAGCCCAGCCGGGCCCCACGGTTCAGGCAGGAGAGAATGTGACCTTGTCCTGCAGCTCCATCTATCCAGGGAAGGGGAGGCCCATGAACGTAGGCTCCCTGCAGTGCGCAGCATCAACGGAACATTCCAGGCCGACTTTCCTCTGGGCCCTGCCACCCACGGAGGGACCTACAGATGCTTCGGCTCTTTCCGTGACGCTCCCTACGAGTGGTCAAACTCGAGTGATCCACTGCTTGTTTCCGTCACAGGTGAGGAAACCCCATATCTGTCCCATGTCCTATGATCCTAGAGCCTTAGCTGAGGAGCTTCCTGCTGATGATGGAGAGAAGCATGGACAGATGCAGAGAGAAGACGCAGCATGCCTGTGAGGGAGGGATCAGGGCGCAGGATGGCACACACAGCACCTCCAAACCCTCCTGCATGGCCTGCATGGAGGCCTCCGATTAGGGCTCCAGGCACCCAGGCAGATGTAGAAAGCGGTCAGGAGAGACCCAGAGCAGGGGAGACTGGGCTCAGTTTGGGGAGATCAGAGGTTCCCTCAGCCCCTCAACCTTACCCATTTCCCAGAAGCCCTTCCTGGCCTCTCACCCACACAGAGATGTCATCACCAGCAACCCCTACATCCTTTTCTTTTTGTTTGAAAAAATATTCATTGAGGTTAAATATACCTATATAGCTTACCACTTTTAACATTTTTTTTTTTTGAGGTGGAGTCTAGCTCTGTCTCCTATGCTGGAATGCAGTGGCACAATCTCAGCTCACTGTAACCTCCGCCTCCTGGGTTCAAGCGATTCTCCTGCCTCAGCCACCTGAGTAGCTGGTACTACAGGCGCCCATCACCACGCCAGGCTACTTTTTGTATTTTTAGTAGAGAGGGGGTTTCACCATGTTGGTCGAGCTGCTCTGGAACTCCTGACCACGTGATCCACCCGCCTCAGGCTCCCAAAGTGCTGGGATTACAGGCATGAGCCACCGCGCCCGGCCACGTTTACCAATTTTAAGTGTAAGGTCTAGTGGTCATAAATACATACATATAAATTTTTTGTTTGTTTGTTTTATCCTCCACCCTTTTCTTCCTGGCCTCTGGTAGCCACCATTCTACTCTCTATCTTCATGAGATCCACCTTTTAGCTCCTGTATATGGGTGAGAAATGGGAATCTTTGTAATGACTTCCAGTTCCATCCATGTGGCTGCAAATATCAGGATGTTATTCTTTCTATGGATGAGTAGTCTCCGCTGTGCGTATGTACTACATTCTCTCTATCCATTCATCCACTGATGGGCAGGTAGGTTGACTCCACATCTTGGCTACTGTGAAGAGTGCTGCACCAATCATACGAGTGCAGATATCACTTCGATACATTGATTTACTTTCCTTTGGATATAAACCCAGTAGTGAAATTGCTGGATACTATGAAAGTTCTCTTTTTAGTTTTTCGTTTGTTGTTTTGTTTTTGTTTTTGAGACAGTTTCCCTCTGTGCCCAGGCTGGAGTACAAGTGATGTGATCTTGGCTCATTGCAACCTCCGCTTCCTGGGTTCAAATGATTTTCCTGCCTCAGCCTCCCTAGTAGCTGGGATTACAGGTGCACGCCACCATGCCGGGATACTTTTTGGTTTTTTTTAGTGTACATGGGGTTTCCCCAGGTTGGCTAGGCTGCTCTCAAACTCATGACCTCAACTGAGGTGCCCGCCTCGGTCTCCCAAAGTGCCGGGATTACAGGCATGATCCACTTCATCCAACCTCTTTTTAGTTCTTTAAAGGACTTCCATACTTTTCTCCGTAATGGCTGTACTAATTTACACTCCTACCAACAGGGTACCAGGGTTCTCCTTTCTCTACCACCTTGCCAGCATTTCTTTTGCCTGTCTTGCAGCTAAAAGCCATTTTATTTTATTTCATTTTATTTTGAGATGGAGTTTCGCTCTTCTCACCCAGGCTGGAGTGCAGTGGTGCGATCTCGGCTCACCGCAACCTCCACCTCCCAGGTTCAAGCGATTCTCCTGCCTCAGCCTCCCGAGTAGCTGGAATTACAGGCACACGCCACCACGCCCGACTAATTTTTGTATTTTTAGTAGAGACAGCGTTTCTCCATGTGGGTCAGACTGGTCTCAAACTCCCGACCTTATGAGATTCGCCCACCTCGGGCTCTCAGAGTTCTAGGATGACAGACGTGAGCCACCTCGCCCGGCCTAAAAGCCATTTTAATGGGGTGAGATGAAAACTCACTTTGATTTTAATTCGCGTTTCTCTGATGATGAGTGATACTGAGCACTTTTTCGTATGTGGGGAAATTTCATGTCTTTTGCTCCTTTTTCAATTAAATCATTTGTTTTATTGAGTTGTTTGAGCTTCTTATACTTCTAGTTATTAATCCCGTCTCAGATGCATAGTTTGCACATATTTGCTCCCAATCTGTGGGTTGTCTCTTCACTTTGTTGGTTTATTTTTAGCGGTGCAGAAGTTGCTTAGTTTGAGGTAATCCCAATGGTCTATTTTTGCTTCGATTACTTGTGTTTTGAAGGTTTAAAACAAAATGTCTTCCTTCAGACAAATGTCCTGGAGCATTTCCCCAATATTTTCTTCTACGTGTTTCACAGGTTCAGGCCTTAGACTCACATCTTTAATCCACTTTCATTTGATTTTTGTGTATGGTGACAGGTAGAGGTGCAGTTTCATTCCTCTGCATGTAGATGTCCAGGTTTCCCTGCACTGTTTATTGAAAAAACTGTCCTTTCCTGATTGTGAGTTCTTGGCACCTTTGTCAAAGTCCATTGGATGGGCTGGGCATGGTGGCTAACACCAGCAACTTCAGCACTTTGGGAGGCCAAGGCTGGTGGATCACCTGAGGACAGGAGTACAAGATTACTCTGGCCGACGTGATGAAACATCGTCTCCACTAAAAATATAAAAATTAGCTGAGCATGGTGGTCAGCACCTGTAATACTACTACTCAGGAGTTTGAGGCAAGAGAATTGATTGAACCCAGGAGGCTGAGGTTGCAGTGAACCGAGATTGCACCTCTGCACTCCAGCCTGGGTGACAGAGCGAGACTCCATCTCAAAAGAAAAAATAAAAAAAATTGGATGTAAATGCATGGATTATATCTGTGTTCTTCATTCTGCTCCGTTGTTCTATGTGCCTTTCTTCATGCCAACATCATGCTGTTTTGCTTACTACAGCTCTGTAACATATTTTGAGATCAGGTAGTGTGATGCTCCTGTTTTCTCTTTATACCTTGAAGTCTCAAGACAGTGGGCGTCACATACAAAAATTATGGAAGAAAGGATCCCTGGACTCCCAGGGCCCAATGTTAGATAACAGAGTGTTGGCCATGAACCAAACTCAAAGATTTCCACTGAGTAGAGGACAGACACCCTCATTTCCTCACCTCTCTCCTGTCTCATGTTCTAGGAAACCCTTCAAATAGTTGGCCTTCACCCACTGAACCAAGCTCCAAAACCGGTGAGTACAGGACCCTCTTATATCCGCTTTTGGAACCCTGGGGAGGTGGAAACCTTGGATTCAGGCGTTGACTCAGCATCTCACAGCTCTGACATTGTACGCCTGTCTTCTACCATCTCCGAACTCCAGATACTCCAACAGCGAAAGGGATCTGGGCCCAACACAGGGCTCAGTGAAATCTCTTCATCTCTCATTTTATGGAGCTGAGACCTCCTACAAGCTAGAAGAATGATTGCCAATCTGACATCCTTCTCAGGAAAAATGCAATGTTTGTTCTGCTTGCATTCCTAACTGGAGGATAAATTCCTGGGGGCTTGAGAGAGGGAAGGGAAGCGAACATCTGATGAGGGCGAGGTGTTTTAGAGAAGTTCCACTTGCCAAGGAATGAGCTCCTGTTGGTCATGAAACAACCCTGGCTGACTCAGCAGAGCAAGAGCCTTGCCGTAACAGAGAACAGAGCTCATGCACGCACACTTTGACTCACTGACTTATTCAGCCACGGCCCCATGCTCAGGTTGTGCAGTGTGGAAGCTTTTCCTATTGTTGCCATAACAAATTTCCACAAGATTCGTGGGTGAAAACAAAACGGTTATTTAATTATCTTACAGTGCTCTAGCTCAAAGCATGAAGTGCATCTCACTGGGCTAAAATCAAGATGACAGCAAGCCTGCCTTCCCTCTGAGGATTCCAGGCAAGAATCTGCTTCTCACTTGTCCCATCTTATAAAGGCTCCCAGTTCCTTGGCTGCTGGTCCCCTTCCTCCTTCCTCAAAACCCACAAAGACTGGTCACATCTCACATGGCATCACTCAGACCCTTCTTCCTTACCACACCTCTTTCTCTGAATGCTGCTCTCCCTTCTTCCTCATCTTTTGAAAACTTGGGGATTCTATTGGGTTCACCAAGATGAAAATCCGTCATAATCTCCCGGAAATCATTCAGGATACCCTTGTTTTAAGTTCAGCTGATTAGCAACCATAATTCCATCTGCAATCTTCATTCCTCCTTTCCATGTAAAATAACATATTCACAAGCTATGGAGGCTAGGACAGGGACATTTTGGGGTGGGACAGCATTCTCCTGCCTTCCACAAATGGTGAACAAGATGCATTTGGCCTCTGCTCTTGGGACACTGATATTGCAGATGGTTAAATGGGAGGACAGAAAATGAATGCACAAGTGGACCAATAAATGAATGATCCATTGGGAAGCATCTGTGCATGAAATCTATTTGTTTGTTTGTTCGTTTGTTTATTGAGACAGAGTCTCCCTCTGTCTTCCAGGCTACAGTGCAGTGTCACGATCTTGGCTCACTGCAACCTGCGTCTCCTGGATCCAAGTGATTCTCCTGCCTCACCCTCTCGAGTAGCTGGGATTACAGGCAACTGCCACCATGCCCGGCTAATTCTTTTTGTATATTTTTTGTAGAGAGGATGTTTCACCATGTTGGCCAAGCTTGTCTGAAACTCCCAACCTCAAGTGATCCAACCATCTCAGCATCCCAAAGTACTGGGATAAAAGACGTGAGCCACTGTGCCCAGCCAGAATTCAAAATCAATAATAGATAATGCTGAGTGTATAATTTTGGGTGACAGAGAAGGTCTCACTAATCAGATATTTGTGACATTAATGAAAAACACGGATTGAACCCCTGAAAGATTGGCGGAAGGATTTTCCACACACAGCTGTCAGCCGTGAAGGCAGAAAGCTGAAAACAATCTGATGTGGAAGGAAGAGGCTCTGCCTGAAATGCTGGGAATGAGATGGGGAGAATGACAAGACAACTGTAGA
The DNA here is from genome assembly GCF_000001405.40 of Homo sapiens. Taxonomy (NCBI): domain Eukaryota; kingdom Metazoa; phylum Chordata; class Mammalia; order Primates; family Hominidae; genus Homo; species Homo sapiens. The sequence continues at coordinate 146,346 of NW_016107302.1, forward strand.
GAGACGGAGAGCACACTGGGTACACAGGAAACTAAGGAGCAACAAGGAGTGTGTGTTTGACACTCACAGCCGTTGGATTCACCTCGAGGTAACCAGGAATCCCTACATGATTAATAGTGACTGACATGAAAATAAGGGAGGCCCAGGTGCGTAACTGGAATCTAGGAGACTGTGGAAAAGGCAATTGCCACCCCACTGGTGAAATGTGGTGCTGATTTTGACACTAAGTGGATGAAGCAGATGGATATAAGCTATGTTTGTGAGGTAGAATCATTGGCTGGAAAGGCTTGCTGGGTTTGATTTTCCTACTTGTTTAATCCTCGCTTAATTAATTTCTTTCTGAGATTTATTCATCCTACACATAAATCAATACCTGGCAAAGGAGTGACAGATATATGAGGGGTGGTGGAAATGAAGGGACCTATTATAGCATAATATACAAGTCTGTGAACGGTGGCTCACGCCTGTAACCCAGCACTGCAGGAGGCCAAGGCGGGTGGATTCCATGAAGTCAGGAGTTCCAGACCAGCCTGGCCAACATGGTGAAACCCTGTCTCTACTAAAAATACAAAAATTAGCCGAGCATGGTGGTGCATCCCTGTAATCCCAGCTCCTACTCTGGAGGATGAAGCAGGAGAATGACTTCAACCCAGGAGGTGGAGGTTGCAGTGAGTGGAGATTGCATCACTGCACTCCAGCCTGGGTGACACAAGGAGACTCCGTCTCAAAAAATAAAAATAAGAAATGCATAAATATAATAAAACACACACGAATGACAAAGGCACCTGAATTCCAATCATCATTTTTCTATTTCTCTATAATTACTTCTTTGATCCTTTATCTTATCCATTAGGCAATGAGCCTAAAACCTCTTCCCTATTTGGCTTTCTGTGAGCATGAGATCACATAGAAAATGTGAAAGCCCGCTGAATCCTCCAGCACGGATCCTGGAATAGAGAAAGTGCTCTGGTCATCGCAAAAAAAAACTTGCCCACTCACCCAAATCCCCCACCTCACCCCTACTTCCAATCACCTGTGGAGATTCAGATAGACCATGGGGAGGAAACATTAATACTCCTTGGAGTGAGTCCAGATCTTGGAATCAGAGATCAGCGACAGCACTAGCTCCTGTTCCCCTTTCCTACTAATTCACAGGAGGACAGGTGGTATTGAAGCAATAGATGGTGGAGGGGGTGGTCCTTCCCCCAGCCTCTCGGGTAGAACAGCAGCCTAACATGTGTCTCCCGAGATCACAAAGAGCAGCACATTTCACACGGGCTTCAACACTATTTTCTGGCTGTTTGACATAAGAGAATCTTGCTTCGCTATTTTTAATCGTGATTTCACCTTTGTTTCCTTTCCTTGGTGAATGCAATTTGTTTGACTCAAGAATGCTGTGGATGTAGAAATCCTAAAGCACATTCGCTGTGTATCAATCCCAGTGCAGTCTTCCCAGAGAAGACTCTAAACAAATCCTGGACTGCACCTGGGCCTATGCCAATTCCTATCACTCACCGTCACTCCAGGGAGACAGAACACACAGAGAATACGTTACATAGGCAGGTTCATTACTAACAGATAAGCAGTGAGTGACAACAGAAGCCTGCATTTCAATGTGAGCCAGTCCCTCAAGGCTCAGAAAAGCTGCTCGGGACATATGGAGTCACCCCATTTGCAGTGTAACTGGGGGAAGCCAGAAAGCAGCCCAGCCTGGGTTTTGTACCCTGGAGCCACAGGAAGCACTCAGCTAAAGCACTGCATGACGTCCTCCTCCAGGAAGAACAGGAAGACAGCCCAGGCTGTTCTGAGACATTCCTCCTGATCTCAGGATGTTGCTATCTTAGTCCATTTTTGTTGCTCTAAAGGAACACTTGAGCCTGGGTAACTTCTAAAGAAAAGAGATTGGTTTGCCTCACAGTTCTGCAGGCTGTACTGGAAGCATGGCACCAGAATCTATTTCTCGTGATGGCCTCAGGCTGCTCCCACTCTGGCAGAAGGGAAGGAGGGTCTGTCTGTGCAGAGACCGCAGAGATCACACGGCAAGAGAGAGAGTAAGGGGGAGAGGGAGCGATGGAGCTTCCAAGCTCTTTTTAACAACCAGCTCTCCAGGAACTAACAGAGGGGGAACTTGCTAACCCCGTCTCCTTGGGACAGCATTGGTCTGTTCATGATGGATCCACCTCCATGACCCAAACACCTCTGAAGAGGCCCAACCTCCCACAATGGGGGTGAAATTTCAATGTGAGGTTTGAAAGGGTCAAACATCTCAACTAAAGTAGTTGTATCCTCAGCACGTTCTATGGTTACTATGAGAGCTATAATTGAGAAAGCAGGGGAAAGCTAGGTCTCCCGCCATTTGGGTGCTTGTCCTAAAGAGACGTTGTATGTGGTTACCTGCCAATCAAGAAATGCGAGACAATTCATAAAGAGGAACTGCTATGATTAGCTTCTTATTGGTGTCTCCTCTTCTTCCAGGTAACCCCAGACACCTACATGTTCTGATTGGGACCTCAGTGGTCAAAATCCCTTTCACCATCCTCCTCTTCTTTCTCCTTCATCGCTGGTGCTCCGACAAAAAAAGTAAGTCTCACGAAGCAGAGGCCAGAGAGCTCAGGGCCATGTGGGGAAGCAGGATGGGAGCACGCGGATGTGTGTTCCTCACCAGCAGGATGGTCCCTGGCCCAAGACAGGAGCCACAGAGGCAGGACTTTCTAGAGAGAGCACCAGATTCCCTTCCCCTGCCTTCAGCTCACAGACCATTGCCTGATTCTGAACTGTATCCTCACGTCCCCTGCAGCCACTCACATCCAGGAGAAGGTTCCATGACAGGCAGAAAGTGGGAGATAGAATCAATGGGATGGGACCTCAGAGCTATTCATGGGATGGGTCCTTGAACTCAGAGAGATAGAATGTCTGAGTCTGCTGTTGGCAACTGAGGGACCTCAGGCACCTATGGCCTCCCCCTGTTTGTTGGTATCTGCTTATGAAATGAGGACCCAGAAGTGCCCTCCGAGCTCTTTTGTTGACTTCCGTCTTCTACAGATGCTGCTGTAATGGACCAAGAGCCTGCAGGGAACAGAACAGTGAACAGCGAGGTAGGTGCTCCTCGGCCCAGCCTCGTGGCTAGTCTTATTCCCAAAGAGTCCTGAAAAATGTGAGCACCCTCCCTCACTCAGCATTTCCCTCTCTCCAGGATTCTGATGAACAAGACCATCAGGAGGTGTCATACGCATAATTGGATCACTGTGTTTTCACACAGAGAAAAATCACTCGCCCTTCTGAGAGGCCCAAGACACCCCCAACAGATACCAGCATGTACATAGAACTTCCAAATGCTGAGCCCAGATCCAAAGTTGTCTTCTGTCCACGAGCACCACAGTCAGGCCTTGAGGGGATCTTCTAGGGAGACAACAGCCCTGTCTCAAAACCGGGTTGCCAGCTCCCATGTACCAGCAGCTGGAATCTGAAGGCATCAGTCTTCATCTTAGGGCATCGCTCTTCCTCACACCACGAATCTGAACATGCCTCTCTCTTGCTTACAAATGTCTAAGGTCCCCACTGCCTGCTGGAGAGAAAACACACTCCTTTGCTTAGCCCACAATTCTCCATTTCACTTGACCCCTGCCCACCTCTCCAACCTAACTGGCTTACTTCCTAGTCTACCTGAGGCTGCAATCACACTGAGGAACTCACAATTCCAAACATACAAGAGGCTGCCTCTTAACACAGCACTTAGACACGTGCTGTTCCACCTCCCTTCAGACTATCTTTCAGCCTTCTGCCAGCAGTAAAACTTATAAATTTTTTAAATAATTTCAATGTAGTTTTCCCGCCTTCAAATAAACATGTCTGCCCTCATGGTTTCGGTAACGAGACTCTTTTCTTGCCTAAGGCTTCCGGTGTTATCATTACCGTGTCCACATAACCCCATCTGTTCTCCATTGGGTTCTCAGCCCTGGACTCTGAGCTTCTGGAAGCAGAATGGAGCCTGATTTGTCTCTGAGACTCCAATTTCCATCCAAAGATACAGCACATAGGAGGCTCCAAGGATCGTGAATCACATGAACAAGTGATATTCTTACTCTCTGCAGACCTGGAAAGCTGGCAGAGTCATTCCACGATGAAACATTTGTAGAGTCATAGGCCTTGTTAGCCTCATCTCCACGGGGACACATATCAACATATCATCTTTCATAATATAAATATACAGTCGGTCCTCCATATCTGTGGGGTTTACAGGTGTTTATTGAACCAACAATAAATCAAAAATATTTTCAGAAAAAAATCCCCGAAGTTTCAAGAAGCAAAAAACTATGTTGAATCGACACAAATTGAGTGGCGTGTAGGCTGTGTCAGGAATTATAAGTAATCAAGAGATGATTTCATGTATACAGGAGGATGTGCATGGGTTCTATGCAATTACTATGCTATTTTTTTTTTTTGAGACAGTCTCACTCTCTCACCCAGGCTGGAGTGCAGTGGCATGATCTCAGCTCACTGCAACCTCCGCCTCCCAGGTTCAAGCGATTGTCTTCCCTCAGCCTCCCCAGTAGCCTCCCCTAGGATTACAGGCACGTGCCACCATGCACAGATAAATTTTTTTGTGTGTGTATTTTTAGTAGAGATGGGGTTTCAGAATGTTGGACCAGCTGGTCTTGAACTCCTGACCTCGTGATCTACCCAACTCAGCCTCCCAAAGTGCTGGGATTACAGGCGTGAGCCACGGTGCCCAGCTTCGCTATGCCATTTCATGCAAGGGGCTTGAGCATCTGCAGATTTTGGTATCTGAATGGGGATCCTGGAACCAATCACCCAGGAATAGTGAAGGACCACAGTATATAATTTTTATTTGTCAATCTTAAAAATAAAGCATAAAAAGTTTACAACAACAAGATAAAAAATAAGAAGTGTTTTTATAGTGTGAGGATAAGTTTAGATTTATTTTTTCCTACGTGTAACCCTATGGTCCTGTGTTATTTATTGAGAAAATATTCTATTCCACCTTAAACTACATGGCAGCCTTTGTCAACTATAAAGGGACTGTGTATCCACAGATGTATTTTAGACACAGTTTTCTGCCCAGTGGTTCTCTGTATCCCCTCTCATGAGGATGCTGCATTTCATATAAACTTATAGAACCCCTTAAAATTTGGTAACCTGAGTTCTCTGATTTGTTATTATAGGTTATTTAGTTTGCTTTTTTTTTTCTTTCTTGAGACAGACTCTTCCTCGGTCACCCAAGCTGGAGTTCAGTGGCTTGAGCTCAGCTCACTGCAGCCTCCGCCTCCCAGGTTCAAGCAATTCTCGTGCCTCAGGTTTAGTACTAGAAACTCATCAGGAAAATTAGAATGGCTTTTTGTCACAATTACTCTGATAATGTTAATAATACCTCTTAGATATTTTGCACATTACACATGAAGAAAAGTTTGAATCTCAGATAAAAACAAAAATACATCAAAAGTCTTTAATGTAAGCACAGAATTCAATCACCTCATGTGTGAGAGGTTGGATCTGAGACGTCTTTTGAGTCTGGTCATAGTGAAGGATGCAAGGTGGCAATTGTAGTCACAACAATTTCCAGGAAGCCATGTTCCGCTCTTGAGCGAGCACCCACTGGGCCTCATGCAAGGTAGAAAGAGCCTGCGTACGTCACCCTCCCATGATGTGGTCAACATGTAAACTGCATGGGCAGGGCGCCAAATAACATCCTGTGCGCTGCTGAGCTGAGCTGGGGCGCGGCCTCCTGTCTGCACCGGCAGCACCATGTCGCTCACTGTCGTCAGCATGGCGTGCGTTGGTGAGTCCTGGAAGGGAATAGAGGGAGGGAGAGTGGGGATGGAGATCTCGGCCTAGAGGTAAAGATATGGGCCTGGAGTGGAGATATGGGCCTGGAGTGGAGATATGGGCCTGGGTGTGGAGATATGGGCCTGGAGGTGTAAATATGGGCCTGGAGTGGAGATATGGGCCTGGAGGGGAGATATGGGCCTGGGTGTGGAGATATGGGCCTGGAGTGGAGATACGGGCCTGGAGTGGAGATATGGGCCTGGGGTGGAGATATGGGCCTGCAGGTGGAGATCTGGGCCTGGAGTGGAGATATGGGCCTGGAGTGGAGATATGGGTCTGATGTGGAGATATGGGCCTGGAGTGGAGATATGGGCCTGGAGTGGAGATATGGGCCTAGAGGGGAGATCTGGGCCTGGAGTGGAGATATGGGTCTGATGTGGAGATATGGGCCTGGAGTGGAGATATGGGTCTGATGTGGAGATATGGGCCTGGAGTGGAGATAGGGGCCTGGAGTGGAGATATGGGCCTGGAGTGGAGATCTGGGCCAGGAAGTGTTGATCTGGGCCTGGAGCCTGGGTCTCTCCACAGCTGAGAGCCCTGTTCTTGGCAGCAGGTAGCAGGGAGGCTAAGTTTACCTTCAGCCCAGCAAGGGCCTGGCTGCCAAGACACACAGTGCAGTGGGGGCAGCAGGGTGCCCTGGTTTGCCTGCAGTTGGATCGTCTATCATGATCTTTCTTTCCAGGGTTCTTCTTGCTGCAGGGGGCCTGGCCACTCATGGGTGAGTCCTTCCCCAAACCTTAGGGTGTCATCTCCCCACATAAGAGGATTTTTCTGAAACAGGAGGGAAGTCCTGTCGGGGAGTCTCTCATAAACTAGGAAGAGGGGACCCTTGGATACTCGGCCCACATTTCTGACCTCGCCCTCCCCGGCCTTTCTTTCCCTTTCCTGAGTCAAGCTCTGTGAAGACTGGGGTGAGACTGGGGTGCTCCAAGCTGGGGTGTGCAGGGAGGAAGTGGTGTCAGCAGCAGAGAAAGAGAGGGATGCAGTGCTAGGAACAGCAGGTCCTCTGAGGACAAAGGTATAACTGACACCCTCCAGCGTTTCCGTGACGGTAGGGACTGCAGTGTGGCTGCGGTCTTTCTACCAGAAGAGGGGGGAAACCACAGCCATGGCCCTGACATTCCAAATCCTCTGAGGGGGCTCAGTTCATGAATTGGCTGATATTCCATTCACATAGGACATGCCCTCCATGCCGTGTCTACTTTGTGTTGTTTTATGTGAGTAATTTTGCAGTATTAAAATCTAGTAAGAGTCACTTATTCAGCACTTGCTCAAAGTTCTCAGCTGACACTTGTTGTAGGGAGACGCCATGTCTATGTGGGGTGGGTCCTTCCTGTAGCCCTGGGCACCCAGGTGTGGTAGGAGCCTTAGAAAGTGGAAATGGGAGAATCTTCTGAGCACAGGGAGGGAGGGGCGGCTCCACATCCTCCTCTCTAAGGCAGTGCCTCCTTCTCCCCCAGGTGGTCAGGACAAACCCTTCCTGTCTGCCCGGCCCAGCACTGTGGTGCCTCGAGGAGGACACGTGGCTCTTCAGTGTCACTATCGTCGTGGGTTTAACAATTTCATGCTGTACAAAGAAGACAGAAGCCACGTTCCCATCTTCCACGGCAGAATATTCCAGGAGAGCTTCATCATGGGCCCTGTGACCCCAGCACATGCAGGGACCTACAGATGTCGGGGTTCACGCCCACACTCCCTCACTGGGTGGTCGGCACCCAGCAACCCCCTGGTGATCATGGTCACAGGTCAGAGGCTTTCTGTCTGGGCTTCTCACTGTCCCACCTCCTGAATCCCAGAGCTTCTGGTGGGGGTGTCCATCAGGGTCCCATCACCCAGGCCCCAACTGTATTTGGGGTCAAGGGGGATTGAATACAGGGGAAATGGGCGCTGTGGTGGGAAGAATAACTGTCGCCAATGATGGCTACATTGTAAACCCTGGAGCCTGTGACTATTTATGTTATAGGGCAGGGGACTGAAGGGGAAGGTGGAGCTCAGGTTGTTGATGAGTTGACCTTGAGATGGGGAGACAGCCTGGACTGTCCTGCTGGGCTCAGTGTAATCACAAGGGTCCGCGTGAGAGGTGGAGGAAGAGGGGAGTGGGGATTAGAGCAGTGTAGTGGGAGGGAGACGCTATCAGCCACTGTGGGCTTTGAAGGTGGAGGAAGGCCACTAGTCACAGAATGCAGGTGGCCTCTAAGGGCTGGAGAAGTCAAGAGAACTGATTCGCTGATTCTCCAGAGGGAACGCAGCCCTGCAGATGCCTTGATTTCAGCACAGGGAGAACTGGATCCAATTTCTGTCCCCAGAAGTGGAAGGGGTCAGTGTGTTCTCTCCTGCTGCCATGTTTGTGATAATTTTCTGCAGCAGCAACAGGAAACCGACACAGGAACCCAGGTCAAGGACAAGCTAGGAAACCAAACAAGGATAGCCAGGTGTGGTGGTGGGCACGAGTAATCCAACGACTGGGGAGGCTGAGGCAAGATAATCACTTGAACCGGGGAGGCAGAGGTTGCAGTGAGCCAAGACAACACCACTGCACTCCAGCCTGGGTGAAAAAGTGACTGTCTCAAAAATAAATTAATTAATCAATTAATTAAAGAAACCAAACAAGGAGAAGGTTGGCTACCGTGGGATCAGCAAGGGTGGGATGCTGATGCCACCACCAGGCTCCATCCACATAGGAAGGGGTTGATGCTCCTGGAACCAGCACCAGGGACCACCCTATGGAAGCTGGGGCCATGGAGAAGGCACAGACATGGCAGGAGAGGCTCCCAATCCCCATCAGGAACAGGGTGTGTGGACACTGATGTCTGCCTTACTGATGAGTTGATACCTCTGCCAGAGACTCCAATTTGTTCAAAAGAGATTGATTCAGGCTGCTGAGAGCCTGGACATGCAGCCTGTCCTCTTCCACCCCCACATAGACAGCAGGAAAGAGACTAGTGGGAAAGAGATACAACAGCCCAAGAGATGAGGCTCTCTTCACAGTGGGAAGGGAGTCAGGGGCTACTGGAGACAGAGGGACAGAGAAGAGGGAGGAAGACAAATGGAGGGACCTGCACCAGGGGATATGGGCACAGAAAAGACACGGAGACACAGAGAGGGAGGAGAGAGACAGACCTCTGGGAGGGGAACCCTCACTCATTCCAGGTGCCATGGATGGGATGATAAAGAGAGATGCCTTCTAAACTCACAACTTCTCTTTCTAGGAAACCACAGAAAACCTTCCCTCCTGGCCCACCCAGGGCCCCTGCTGAAATCAGGAGAGACAGTCATCCTGCAATGTTGGTCAGATGTCATGTTTGAGCACTTCTTTCTGCACAGAGAGGGGATCTCTGAGGACCCCTCACGCCTCGTTGGACAGATCCATGATGGGGTCTCCAAGGCCAACTTCTCCATCGGTCCCTTGATGCCTGTCCTTGCAGGAACCTACAGATGTTATGGTTCTGTTCCTCACTCCCCCTATCAGTTGTCAGCTCCCAGTGACCCCCTGGACATCGTGATCACAGGTGAGAGTGTCCAGACATTCTTCTCATTGTCATTGGGACACAGAGTGAATGATCCAGGACTTGGAACCCCCAGGTGGTCATGAGGAAGATAAGCGTGGGATTCTTATGGAGAGAGACTGACTCGGTGAGGTCTGTACCAACAGAGACAGGGAAACAGGAGACATAAGTACAGACCAGGTGTCATAACAGAGGACAGACACAGGGGCCATACGGGGAAGTAGAAAAGAGAGAAAGAGGTAAAGGAGACACTCAGACAGACAGACATGTGCCAGAGAGAAGTGTCCTTCCATGCTGACTTTGCTCAGAGACCTGGCACAGGTTAGAAGTTTCATTTCTGTTTTGTCTCCACAAAGTGCTTCTACGAGGAGAACCCAAGGACACCCATATTTCTGACCTGAGTTGGGCCCTGTGGCCTCAGGCCTTGTGGCATCTACAGATGCCATGTTTATTCTGACACCTCTGCCTTCCATGCAGTGGAGCCATAATTATCCCAGGATATCATGGCCCCAGAACACCAACCCCTAAATACTGTGTGTACTTGGTGTCCCCAGACTAGATTCTGAGGCTCATATTCCAAATAATCCTACATATAATAGGATCACTGAGAGACACAGAGATAAATCAGGGACTTCAAAAAGCAAAGGCATAAACACACAGAGAATGAGCCAGAGGAAGGGGATTGAGAGACTCACAGACACACAAAAAGAAAGAAAAGAGGGCAGAGGAGTGGAGAGAATGCTGGAAGGGAGGAGAGAAAAGCCCCAAAATCAGAACCCTGAGGGAGGGGCACAAAGACAGAGAAAGATAAAGATGTGGGGATGGATTGCAGAGATTCCAAATAGAACTAGAGAGACTGAGAGGCAGAGAAAGACAAGGAGATGGAGAGAGACAGATGATAGATGGATAGATAGATATAGATAGATGATAAATAGGTAGATGATAGATAATGGATAGGTTATAGATACATAGATGATGATTGATAGATGATACATAGAGATGATGATGATGATGATGATGAAGATAGATAGAAGACACATATATAAATATATAGATACATAGATGATACATAGAGACTGACAGGCAGACAGAGAGGTAATAGAGAGAGAGAGAGATGATACATAGATACAGATAATACATAGATGATTGATGGATAGACAGATAGACAATTGATAGATAAATGATACATAGATATAGATGACAGATAATTTGTAGATAGACACAAAATAGATAGATAGATAATAGATAGAAATATGCAGAAAGTTATGAACAAGACAGAAAGTGAGAGACTCAGAATTATAGAAAAAGGAAGATCAAGTCAACCAATCCAAGGAGAGTCAGAGAGAATAAAACAATCCAAAAAGGGAAAGCATACCCAGGGGTGGGGAAGTGAGGTCAGAGACCTAGAGAGACAGAGAAGGCGGAAGGAGGAAATAGACATGAAGAGAGTTGGGGTGGAGGGTGAGAGAGAGAGAGAGCATTAGGTCATAGAGCAGGGGAGTGAGTTCTCAGCTCAGGTATGAGGGGAGCTGTGACAAGGAAGAACCTCCCTGAGGAAACTGCCTCTTCTCCTTCCAGGTCTATATGAGAAACCTTCTCTCTCAGCCCAGCCGGGCCCCACGGTTCAGGCAGGAGAGAACGTGACCTTGTCCTGTAGCTCCTGGAGCTCCTATGACATCTACCATCTGTCCAGGGAAGGGGAGGCCCATGAACGTAGGCTCCGTGCAGTGCCCAAGGTCAACAGAACATTCCAGGCAGACTTTCCTCTGGGCCCTGCCACCCACGGAGGGACCTACAGATGCTTCGGCTCTTTCCGTGCCCTGCCCTGCGTGTGGTCAAACTCAAGTGACCCACTGCTTGTTTCTGTCACAGGTGAGGAAAACCCGTGTCTGTCCCATGTCTTATGATCCTAGAGCCATAGCTGAGGAGCTTCCTGCCGATGATGGGGAGAAGCATGGACAGATGCAGAGAGAACACGAAGACTGGGTGTGAGGGGGGGTCAGGGTGCAGGATGGCAGACAGGGCACCTCCAAACCCTCTTGCATGGCCTGCATGGAGGCCCATGGTCAGGGCTCCAGGCACCCAGGCAGATGGAGAAAGCGGTCAGGACAGACCCAGAGAAGGGGAGACTGGGCTCAGTTTGGGGAGATCAGAGGTTCCCTCAGCCCCTCAACCTTACCCATTTCCCAGAAGCCCATCCTGGCCTCTCACCCACACAGAGAGATGTCATCACCAGCAACCCCTACACTCTTTTCTTTTCATTTTCAAAAATATTTATTGAGGTTAAATGTAACTATATAATTTACCAACTTTACCATTTTTAAAAGTAAAATCTAGTGGTCATAAATACCTTTATATGCTGGGTGTGGTGGTTCACGGTTGTAATCTTGGCGCTTTGAGAGGCCAAGAAAGGTGGATCATTTAAGATCAGGGACTCGAGATCAGCCTGGCCAACATGCGGGAAATTCATCTTTACTAAACAGACAAGAAAAATTAGCCAAGCATGCCGGCATGCACCTGTAGTCCTAGCTACTTGGGAGGCTGAGGCAGGAGAAGCACTTAAAGCCAGGAGGCAGAGGTTGCACTGAGCCGAGATCATGCCACTGCACTGCAGCCTGGGAGACAGAGAGAGACTCTGTTTCTAAATAAATAAATACATCTATATTCTTTTTTTTGTTACCTTCCACCCTTCCCTTCCTGGCCTCTGGTATCCACCATTCTATTCTCTACCTTCATGAGATCCACCTTTTATCTCCTGCATGTGGTGAGAAATGGGAATCTTTGTAATGACCTCCAGTTCCATCCATGTGGCTGCAAATGACAGGATGTTATTGTTTCTATGGATGAGTAGTCTCCACCGTGTGTGTGTACTACAGTTCTCTATCCATTCACCCACTGATAGGCAGGTAGGTTGACTCCACATCTTGGCTACTGTGAACAGTGCTGGAACAGTCATATGAGTGCAGATATCACTTCGATACACTGATGTCCTTTCCTTTGGATATAAACCCAGTAGTGAAATTGCTGGACACTATGAAAGTTCTCTTTTTTTTTTTTTCTTTTTTGAGAAAGAGTTTCCCTCCTTAGTCCAAGCTGGAGTCAAAGTGGTGCGATCTTGGCTCATTGCAACCTCTGCTTCCTAGGTTCAAACGATTGTCCTGACTCAGCCTCCCTAATAGCTGTGATTACAGGTGCACGCCACCATGCCTGACTAATTCTTGTATTTTTTAGCACAGACGGGATATCCCAATTTTGGGCAGGCTGCTCTCAAACTCCTGACCTCAAGTGAGGTGCCTGCCTCGGTTTCCCAAAGTGCTGAAGTTACAGGCATAAGCCACTATGCCCAGCCTCCTTTTAGTTTTTTAAAGATTTTCCATACTTTTCTCCATAATAGTTGTACTAATTTACATTCCTACCAACAGGGTACCAGGGTTCTCCTTTCTCTACCATCTTGCCAGCATTTGTTTTGCCTGTCTTGCAGATAAAAGCCATTTTACTTTACTTTATTTATTTATTTATTTATGTTGAGATGGAGTTTCACTCATAGTCGCCCAGGCTGGAGTGCAAGGGTGTGATCTCGGCTCACTGCAACCTCTGCCTCCCGCGTTCAACTGATTCTCCTGCCTCAGCCTCCAAAGTAGCTGGGATTACAGGCATGTGCCACCACGCCTAGCTAATTTTTGTATGTTTAGTAGAGAGGGAGTTTCTCCATGTTGGTCAGGCTGGTCTCCCGACCTCAGGTGATCCGCCCACCTCCGCCTCCCAAAGTGCTGGAATTACAGGCGTGAGCCACCGGCCTAAAAGGCATTTTAATGGGATGAGATGAAAACTCATCGCGATTGTAATTTACATTTCTGTGATGATGAGTGATGCTGAGCACTTTTTCATATACGTGATCGCCATTTCTATGTTTTGTTTGTGGAGAAATGTCTCCTCATGTCTTTTGCTCGTTTTTTAATTAAATTGTTTTATTGAGTTGTTTGAGCTTCTTATATTTCCAGTTATTAATCCCATCTCAGATGAATAGTTTGCAAATATTTGCTCCTATTTTGTGGGTTGTCTCTTCACTTTGTTGGTTTATCTTTGGTGGTGCAGAAGTTGCTTGGTTTGATGTAATCCTAATGGTCTATTTTTTGCTTTGATTACTTGTGTTTTGAAGGTTTTAAACAAAATGTCTTTCGTCAGACAAATGTCTTCCCCATTATTTTCTTCTACATGTTTCATAGGTTCAGGCCTTAGACTCATGTTTTTAATCCATTTTCATTTGATTTTTGTGTAAGGTGACAGGTATAGATGCAGTTTTATTCCTCTGCATGTAGATATCCAGTTTTCCCCACACCATTTATTGAAGACTGTCCTTTCCTGATTGTAAGTTCTCGGCACCTTTGTCAAAGTCCATTAAATGGGCTGGGTATGGTGGCTCACACCTGCAATTCCAGCACTTTGGGAGGCCGAGGCGGGTGGATCACCTAAAGCCAGGAGTTCAAGACCAGGCTGGCCAACAGAGTGAAACCTCGTCTCTACTAAAAATACAAAAATTAGCTGAGCATGGTGATCAGTGCCTGTAATACCACTACTCAGGAGTTTGAAGCAAGAGAATTTCTTGAATCCAGGAAGTGGAGGTTGCATTGAGCTGAGATTGCACCTCTACACTCCAGCCTGCATGACAGAGCAAGATTCTATCACACACACACAAAAGAAAGCCATTGGATGTAAATGCATGGATTATATCTGTGTTCTCCATTCTGTTCCATTTTTTATGTGCCTTTCTTTATGCCAATGTCATGCTGTTTTGCTTACTACAGCTCTGTAACATATTTCTAAGTCAGGTAGTGTGATGCTCCTGTTTTCTCTTTATACCTTCAAGTCTCAAGACAGTGGGCATCGCACACAAAAATTATGGAGAAAAGGATCCCAAGACTCCCAGGGTCCAACATTAGATAACAGAGTGTTGGCCATGAACCAACCTCAAAGATTTCCATTGAGTAGAGGACAAGCACCCTCATTTCCTCACATCTCTCCTGTCCCGTGTTCTAGGAAACCCTTCAAGTAGTTGGCCTTCACCCACAGAACCAAGCTCCAAATCTGGTGAGTAAAGGACCCCTCTTATCTCTGCTTTTGGAAACCTGGGGAGGTGGAAGCCTTGGATGCAAGTGTTGGCTCAAACCTCCCAGCTCTGTGAATGAGGGCCTGTCTTCCACCATCTCTGAACTCCAGACACTCCAACAGTGAAAGGGATCTAGGGCCACCAAAGGGCTCAGCGAAGTCTCTTTACCTTTAATTTCCTGCAGGTGAGACCTCCTACAAGCTAGAAGAATAATTGCCAATCTGACATCCTTCTCAGGAAAAATGCAGTGTTTTTTCTGCCTGCATTCCTAACTGGAGGATAAATTCCCGGGGGCTTGAGAGAGGGAAGGGAAGGGAACATCTGATGAGGGTGGGTGTTTTAGAGAAGTTCCACTTGCCAAGGAATGAATTACTGTTGGTCATCAGGCAACCCTGGCTGACTCAGCAGAGCAAGAGCCTTGCCGTAACAGAGAACAGAGCTCATGCACGCACACTTCGACTCAGTGACTCATTCAGCCACAGCCCCATGCTCAGGCTGTGCAGTGTGGAAGCTTTTCCTATTGTTGCCATAACAAATTTCCACAAGATTCGTGTGTGAAAACAAAACGGTTATTTAATTATCTTACAGTGCTGTAGCTCAAAGCATGACGTGCATGTCACTGGGCTAAAATCAAGGTGACAGCAAGGCTGCCTTCCCTCTGAGGGTTCCAGGCAAGAATCTGCTTCTCACTTTTCTCAGCTTCTAGAGGCTCCCATGTTCCTTGGCTCCTGGTACCCTTCCTCCTTCCTCAAAGCCCACAAAGACTGGTCACATCTCACATGGCATCACTCAGACCCTTCTTCCTTACCACACCTCTTTCTCTGAATGCTGCTCTCCCTTCTTGCCCTTCTTTTGAAAACTTGGGGATTCTATTGGGTTCACCAAGATGAAAATCCATCATAATCTCCCGGAAATCATCCAGGATACCCTCCTTTTAAGTTCAGCTGACTAGCAACCATAATTCCATCTGCAATCTTCATTCCTCCTTTCATGTAAAATAACATATTCACAAGCTATGGAGGCTAGGACATGGACATTTTTGGGGTGGGACAACATTCTCCTGCCTTCCACAAACAGTGAACAAGATGCATTTGGCCTCTGTTCTTGGGACACTGATCTTGCAGATGGTTAAATGGGAGGGCAGAAAATGTAGGCACAAGGGGACCAATAAATGAATGATCTATTGAGAAGCATCTGTGCATGAAATCTATTTATTTATGTATTTACCTACTTGTTTATTGAGACGGAGCCTTGCTCTGTCGTCCAGGCTAGAGTGCGGTGGCATGATCTCGGCTCACTGCAACCTCCACCTCCTGGGCTGAACTGATCTCCTCCCTCAGCCTCTCCAGTAGCTGGGATTACAGACCACAACCACCACGCCCGGCTAACTCTTTTTGCATATTTTCTGTAGAGAGGATGTTTCACCATGTTGGCCAGGCTGGTCTCAAATTCCCAACCTCAGGTGATCCAATAGCCTCTGCCTCCCAACACGCTGGGATAAGAGGCATGAGCCACGGGGCCAAGCCAAATTTTCAAATCAATAATAGATAATGCTGAGAGTATTATTTCAGGTGACAGAGAAGTTCTCACTAATCAGATATTTGTGACATTAATGAAAAACACGGATTGAACCCCTGAAAGATTGGCGGAAGGATTTTGCACACACAGCTGTCAGCCGTGAAGGCACAAAGGTGAAAACAATCTGATGTGGAAGGAAGAGGCTCTGCCTGAAATGCTGGGAATGAGGTGGGGAGAATGACAAGATGACTGTAGAGAGACGGAGAGCACACTGGGTACACAGGAAACTAAGGAGCAACAAGGAGCGTGTGTTTGACACTCACAGCCATTGGATTCACCTCGAGGTAACCAGGAATCCCTACATGATTAATATGACTGACATGAAAATAAGGGAGGCTCAGTTGCATAACTGGAATCTAGGAGACCGTGGAAAAGGCAATTGCCGCCCCACTGGTGAAATGTGGTGCTGATTTAGACACTAAATGAATGAAGTAGATGGATATAAGATATGTTTGTGAGGTAGAATCATTGGCTGGAAAGGCTTGCTGGGTTTAATTTTTCCTGGTAGTTTAATCCTCGCTTCACTAACTTATTTCTGAGATTTATTTCTCCTGCATCTAAATCAATACCTGGCAGAGGAGGGAGAGCTAGATGAGGGGTGGTGCAAATGAAGGGACCTAGTATAGCATAATATACAAGGCTGTGAACGGTGGCTCACGCCTATAACCCAGCACTTCAGGAGGCCAACGCGGGTGGATCACATGAAGTCAGGAGTTCGAGACCAGCCTGGCCAACATGGAGAAACCCTATCTCTACTAAAAATACAAAAATTAAACAGGCATGATGGTGGTGCATGACTGTAATCCCAGCTACTCTGGAGGAGGAAGCAGGAGAATGACTTCAGCCCTGGAGGCAGAGGTTGCAGTGAGTGGAGATCGCATCACTGCACACCAGCCTGGGCTACACAGGGATACTCTGTCTCAAAAAATAAAAATAAAAAATACATAAATATAATAATATACACAAATGATGCAGGCACCTGAATTCCAATCATCATTTTTCTATTCCTCTATAATTACTTCTTTGATCCTTTATCTTATCCATTAGAAAATCAGCCTAAAACCTCTTCCATATTTGGCTTTCTGTGAACATGAGATCATATGGAAAATATGAAAGCCCCCTGAACCCACCAGCACAGGCCCTGAAATAGGGAAAGTGCTCTGTTCATCACAAGAAACTTTCCCCCTCACCCAAATCCCCCACCTCACCCCTACTTCCAATCACCTGTGGAGATACAGATAGATCATGGGGAGGTAAACGCTAATACTCCTTGGAGTGAGTTCAGATCTTGGAATCAGAGATCAGCACCAGCACTAGCTCCTGCTCCCCTTTCCTACTAATTCACAGGAGGACAGGTGGTTTTGAAGCAATAGATGGTGGAGGGGGTGGTCTTTCCCCCAGCCTCTCAGGTGGAACAGCAGCCTAACATGTGTCTCGCGAGATCACAAAGAGTAGCACGTTTCACATGGGCTTCATCATTATTTCCTGGCTGTTTGACATAAGAGAATTCTACTTTGCTTTTTTGATCTTGATTTCACTTTTGTGTCCTTTTCTTGGAGAATGTAATTTGAGTCAAGAGGGTTGTGGATGTAGAAACTGTAAAGCACATTCACTGTGTATCAATCCCAGTCCAGTCTTTCCAGAGAAGACTCTAAACACCTGCTGTACTGCACCTGGGCCTATGCCAATTTCTATCACTCACCGTCACTCCAGGGAGACAGAACACACAGAGAATACGTTACATAGGCAGGTTCATTACTAACAGATAAGCAGCGAGTGACAACAGAAGCCTACATTTCAACGTGAGCCAGTCCCTCAAGGCTCAGAAAAGCTGCTCGGGACATATGGAGTCACCTCATTTGCAGTGTATCTGGGGGAAGCCAGAAAATAGCCCAGCCTGGGTTTTGTACCCTGAAGCCACAGGAAGCACTCAGCTAAAGCACTGCATGACGTCCTCCTCCAGGAAGAACAGGAAGACAGCACAGGCTGTTCTGAGACGTTCCTCCTGATCTCAGGACGTTGCTGTCTTAGTCCATTTTTGTTGCTATAAAAGAACACTTGAGCCTGGGTTACTTCTTTTTTTTTTTTTTTTTTTTTTTGTATAGTGCTTCTGATGAGCTTTTTTTTAAAATTTTTATTATTATTATACTTTAAGTTTTAGGGTACATGTGCACAATGTGCAGGTTAGTTACATATGTATACATGTGCCATGCTGGTGTGCTGCACCCATCAACTCGTCATTTAGCATTAGGTATATCTCCTAATGCTATCCCTCCCCCCTCCCCCCACCCCACAACAGTCCCCAGAGTGTGATGTTCCCCTTCCTGTGTCCATGTGTTCTCATTGTTCAATTCCCACCTATAAGTGAGAACATGCGGTGTTTGGATTTTTGTCCTTGTGATAGTCTACTGAGAATGATGATTTCCAATTTCATCCATGTCCCTGCAAAGGACATGAACTCATCATTTTTTATGGCTGCATAGTATTCCATGGTGTATATGTGCCACATTTTCTTCATCCAGTCTATCATTGTTGGACATTTGGGTTGGTTCCAAGTCTTTGCTATTGTGAATAGTGCCACAATAAACATACGTGTCCATGTGTCTTTATAGCAGCATGATTTATAGTCCTTTGGGTTTATACCCAGTAATGGGATGGCTGGGTCAAATGGTATTTCAAGCTCTAGATCCCTGAGGAATCGCCACACTGACTTCCACAATGGTTGAACTAGTTTACAGTCCCACCAACAGTGTAAAAGTGTTCCTATTTCTCCACATCCTCTCCAGCACCTGTTGTTTCCTGACTTTTTAATGATCGCCATTCTAACTGGTGTGAGATGGTATCTCATTGTGGTTTTGATTTGCATTTCTCTGATGGCCAGTCATGGTGAGCATTTTTTCATGTGTTTTTTGGCTGCATAAATGTCTTCTTTTGAGAAGTGTCTGTTCATGTCCTTTGCCCACTTTTTGATAGGATTGTTTGTTTTTTTCTTGTAAATTTGTTTGAGTTCATTGTAGATTCTGGATATTAGCCCTTTGTCAGATGAGTAGGTTGCGAAAATTTTCTCCCATTTTGTAGGTTGTCTGTTCACTCTGATGGTAGTTTCTTTTGCTGTGCAGAAGCTCTTTAGTTTAATTAGATCCCGTTTGTCAATTTTGGCTTTTGTTGCCGTTGCTTTTGGTGTTTTAGACATGAAGTCCTTGTCCATGCCTATGTCCTGAATGGTAATGCCTAGGTTTTCTTCTAGGGTTTTTATGGTTTTAGGTCTAACGTTTAAGTCTTTAATCCATCTCAAATTAATTTTTGTATAAGGTGTAAGGAAGGGATCCAGTTTCAGCTTTCTACCTATGGCTAGCCAGTTTTCCCAGCACCATTTATTAAATAGGGAATCCTTTCCCCATTGCTTGTTTTTCTCAGGTTTGTCAAAGATCACATAGTTGTAGATATGTGGCATTATTTCTGAGGGCTCTATTCTGTTCCATTGATCTATATCTCTGTTTTGGTACCAGTACCATGCTGTTTTGGTTACTGTAGCCTTGTAGTATAGTTTGAAGTCAGGCAGCATGATGCCTCCAGCTTTGTTCTTTTGGCTTAGGATTGACTTGGCAATGCAGGCTCTTTTTTGATTCCATATGAACTTTAAGGTAGTTTTTTCCAATTCTGTGAAGAAAGTCATTGGTAGCTTGATGGGGATGGCATTGAATCTATAAATTACCTTGGGCAGTATGGCCATTTTCACGATCTTGATTCTTCCTACCCATGAGCATGGAATGTTCTTCCATTTGTTTGTATCCTCTTTTATTTCATTGAGCAGTGGTTTGTAGTTCTCCTTGAAGAGGTCCTTCATATCCCTTGTAAGTTGGATTCCTAGGTATTTTATTCTCTTTGAAGCAATTGTGAATGGGAGTTCACTCATGATTTGGCTCTCTGTTTGTCTGTTATTGGTGTATAAGAATGCTTGTGATTTTTGTACATTGATTCTGTATCCTGAGACTTTGTAGAAGCTGCTTATCAGCTTAAGGAGATTTTGGGCTGAGACAATGGGGTTTTCTATATATACAATCATGTCATCTGCAAACAGGGACAATTTGACTTCCTCTTTTCCTAATTGAATACCCTTTATTTCCTTCTCCTGCCTAATTGCCCTGGCCAGAACTTCCAACACTATGTTGAATAGGAGTGGTGAAAGAGGGCATCCCTGTCTTGTGCCAGTTTTCAAAGGGAATGCTTCCAGTTTTTGCCCATTCAGTATGATACTGGCTGTGGGTTTGTTATAGATGGCTCTTATTATTTTGAGATACGTCCCATCAATGCCTAATTTATTGAGAGTTTTTAGCATGAAGCGTTGTTGAATTTTGTCAAAGGCCTTTTCTGCATCTATTGAGATAGTCGTCCGGTTTTTGTCTTTGGTTCTGTTTATATGATGGATTACATTTATTGATTTGCATATATTGAACCAGCCTTGCATCCCAGAGCCTGGGCAACTTCTAGAGAAAACAGATTTGTTTGCCTCACAGTTCTGCAGGCTGTACTGGAAGCATGGCACCAGCATCTGTTTCCTGTGACGGCCTCAGGCTGCTCCCACTCTGGCAGAAGGGAAGGAGGGTCTGTCTGTGCAGAGACCACAGAGATCACATGGCAAGAGAGGGAGCAAGGGGGAGGGCGAGCGATGGAGCTTCCAAGCTCTTTTTAACAACCAGCCCTCCGGGAACTAATAGAGGGGGAACTTGCTAACCCCATCATGTGGGGCAGCATTAATCTATTCATGATGGATCCACCTCCATGACTCAAACACCTTCCCATAGGCCCAAACTTCCACACTGGGGGTTAAATTTCAATATTTCAGTGTGAGGTTTCAAAGGGTCAAACATCTAAACTAAAGCAGCTGTATCCTCAGCATGTTCTATGGTTTCTATGAGAGCTGTAACTGAGAAAGCAGGAGAAAGCTGGGTCTCCCGCCATCAGGCTGCTTGTCCTAAGGAGATGTTCCATGTGGTTACCTGTCAATCAAGAAATGAGACAATCCATAAAGAGGAACTGCTATGATTAGCTTCTTATTGGATTCCCATCTTCCTCCAGGTATCTGCAGACACCTGCATGTTCTGATTGGGACCTCAGTGGTCATCTTCCTCTTCATCCTCCTCCTCTTCTTTCTCCTTTATCGCTGGTGCTCCAACAAAAAGAGTAAGTCTCACGAAGCAGAGGCCAGAGAGCTCAGGGCCATGTGGGGAAGCAGGATGGGAGCACGCGGGTGTGTGTTCCTCACTGGCAGGATGGTCCCTGGCCCAAGGGAGGAGCCACAGAGGCAGGGCTTTCTAGAGAGAGCACCAGACAACCTGCCCCTGCCTTCAGCTCACAGACCATTGCCTGGTTCTGAACTGTATCCTCACATCCCCTGCAGCCACTGACATCCAGAAGCTTCCATGACAGGCAGAAAGTGGGAGACAGAATCAATGGGATGCCAATTGAGAGCACTTCATGGGATGGGGTCTTGAACTCAGAGAGATAGAATGTCTGAGTCTGGATGTTGGCAGCTGAAGAGCCTCAGGCACCTACAGCCTCCCCCTGTGGGTTGGTGTCTGCCCATGAAATGAGGACCCAGAAGGGCCCTCCAAGCGGTTTTGATGACTTCCGTCTCCTACAGATGCTGCTGTAATGGACCAAGAGCCTGCGGGGGACAGAACAGTGAATAGGCAGGTAGGTCCTCCTCGGCCCAGCCTCACGGATACAGTCTTATCCCTAATAGTCCTG